>NC_000002.12:187792648-188095678 GCF_000001405.40 Homo sapiens | reverse complement strand
AACTCAGCTGCTGAAATTTCCCCCCAAGGTGCTTAATTCTTTACTCAGAGATCAGTTATTTCAGATGAATTTTGAAAAAAGTGCTTAATGTCCTTTTTTTTTTTCTGAGAAACTG
The DNA here is from genome assembly GCF_000001405.40 of Homo sapiens. Classification (NCBI taxonomy): domain Eukaryota; kingdom Metazoa; phylum Chordata; class Mammalia; order Primates; family Hominidae; genus Homo; species Homo sapiens. The sequence continues at coordinate 188,095,563 of NC_000002.12, read as the reverse complement.
TTAACCTATTTTAAATCAAAGAAACAAAGCAAGAAATAGAATTCTGCTCACTGATATAGGATATCTGTGACGTACTGAAGAATTTGGAGGAACTCTCATCCCTACAATCTTTACATTTCCAGATTTGCCCTCTACCGTCCCTCAGCAGGAAATCTGTGAGGCTCCATCCCATTGTGAGCCTTGTCTTATATGTAGAGTTGGAATGTCTTATGTAAAACTGAAAGGAGAAGCCAACTCTAAAGTGCCAAGTGTTGTCTATCAAGTCTGCCAAGACCTCTCCCAAGAACCACTGCCACAGCTTATTGAGCAGCTTATCAGCCACTAACCATGCACTTCTCACTTTAAGATGGATGTACTTCTATCTTTCTGAACTATGCCCTTCAGAAGTAAATTTAGCATTCATCTGTTGGTGAGTTCTTCCAATTTTTCTTTGTTTGAAAATATTTATTTTATTATTGTTCTTGAAAGATACTGTATTAGTCCATTTTCATACTTCTATAAAGAAATACCTGAGACTGGGTAATTTATAAAGAGATTTAAAAGACTCAGAGTTCCACATGTCTGGGGAGACCTCACAATCATGGCAGAAGGAGGAGGAGCAAAGGCATGTCTTACATGGTGGCAGGCAAGAGAGTGTATGCAGGGGACTGCCCTTTATAAAACCATAGATCTCATGAAACTTATTCACTATCACAAGAATAGCATGGGAAAATCCCACCCCCATGATTCAATTAACTCCCTCCAGGTCCCTCCTATGACATGTGGGGATTATGGGAGCTACAATTCAAGATGAGATTTGGGTGGCGACACAGTCAAACCATATCAGTTACTTTTACTTGATGTTGAGTTCTAGGTTGTCAATTATTTATTTTCAGTACAAGCTGAATATCTCTTATCCAAAATACATGGGACCAGAAGTGTTCTGGATTTCACTTTTTTTTTCAGATTTTAGAATATATGCATATTCATAATGAGGTACCTTGGGAATGAGACTCAAGTCTAACTTCTAGTTACTTAGTTTTGATAAATTTAGGTATATTTTCTAGTTCCCTTTAGGTAAGTCTAATCAGTTTGTCATCTTTGAGTTTTTTATTTCAACAATTATACATATATATTTTCAAAATTTTTATTTCTAAATGATCTTATTCGTTTGTTTTGAAATCTATCTTGTAATTTTGGATTATCTTTTTTATTTTTCATGTTTCTTGCCAATGCATTTCTTGTTTCTTTAAAAATTTCATATATATATGATTGTATTGTTTATCTCTTTAACATTTTTATACATATACAATTAATGGCAATTTTTTGGGCTGGCTGTTTCTCAAAAAATGATTTTCTGATAAATTTGACTATCTTTGATAAAAGCTCATATTGGTTGTTCTTAACATTTGTAAAAACTGAGGCCTAAATTGAAGATTATTTCATCCAGTAAAACTTGCTTTTGCTTCTTTGTGAGACAGGCAGTATCATCAATCTGAGACCCTAAATTTAAATCTAAAGACATCTCCTTTAGATTCCTTGGCTCAAGCTAGCAGACTGGTCACTCCCTCCTCTTCCCTTAAGCAATCTTGATATTAGAATTTTACCTACACTTCTACTGTGCTTCCTACTCCAAGCTCAGATTTCAACTATTTTTTTGCCTCTTGGAAGTTTTCTCTACTTCCATCTCCCCAACTCAGAAGTACAACAAAATTTATTATTTTATCCAAGTTCTATCCACTTTTCCACATTGATAAAACCCTAAGAATGCATGCCGTAATAGTAGTAAAAATCAATTTTCTTTATCTGAAAAATTATTTTGCCTAGCAATATTTTGTATTGATTAGTATTGTACTTTATGAAATTCTAACAAAAAGTGAATTAAATTTAAAAAATAAACAGAAAAAAGAACTTTTTCACCACAAAACAGTTTCCAAACCTCTTAAAACACTCAGGAATAGTCAAGAATAGCTCTTAGGAAGGGTTGTAAAATCATTCTGACTACTGTTTCTGATTTTGTCCTACAATTTATTGCCTTTCTGAATTGCGAATTTTTTCTGAAATGCTGATCTAGTTTCTAATGCTGCCAAGGAGAGTGTCTCACTCAGCCAATATTTACAACTACTTCATTTTGTTCCACAAAGGGTAATTTGTCCTTTTGGGTTTTCTATAACCCTCCTTTATCTACTTAATAATGTGGAACAATTTCCCTTGGATGGGTCTGAGCACTTTTGAATGGTCACTGGGAAATTTCCTTCAATCTTAGTATCTGTACATGAAGCACTTGTCTTTTGACAACCTCCTAAGAATATAATGAAAGGTCTTAATGTTAATATCCTGATACTCAAGTCTTTTTCACTAATAGGAGGATTCTTAAAAATTGTCATTCAAGCAATTATCCTGCCAGTCTGCTTTGATATCATGGTCTAATGAAAACTTAGTGATTTCTTTATGATTTGATGGCCCTATGACGGTAAAGATTGCTGTGTGAGAGTAAACTAAATCTAATTTAGGAGGTGAGGAATGGCCAGGAAAAGCTTCTCTGGAGAAATAAAATTAAAATGAGGGCTGAGGTCAAATAAGAATAAGCCAACGTGGGAAAAGAAATATTTTAGGCAAGGAAAATGCACATGCCTTGAGGAGAAACAATGAAGGGCAGTTATAGAAATAGACAGCACAGAATGACTAATTTGTATTCAGTGATGGGAGTGGTTAGAAATGACCTTGAAAGAAGTGGGAAGAATTTTAACATCAGAAACAACATGTTCAGAAAGTTAGACTTAAAATATAGGAACAATGTATAACTTTTAAAGTATTTAGTTGTAACAGTGAAAAAAATCATATTTGAAATTAAAAAAAAAATTCCAGCCATAACTGGAGAAAGGGGATTTGGTTGGGAGTAGAGTCTGTAGTGGATTTGGGATGACAAATTTGGAGGTGTGGCAGTGGTCTAAGTAAGAAATAATGGTGGATTGGACGATGGTAGTTACAATGGAAATGGACAGACTCTTAGTGTCTTGATACTCAAATCTTCTTGATTGAGATTAAGACCTTTCATTAAATTAATAGGACATTGTCAACTGAGGTACTGGAAACTACAAGTATTGGTGACAAGAATAAAGAATCATGGTCTACAAAATTAACACCAGCTTTGAATCAAATGTGATCTATTCATCCTTAATAGATGAAAAAAACACTATAGTGAAAACTTTCTTTTTTCCCATTTTTAACAGAGTTCCTTTTCTATCCTCAGTCTTTCCATCAAATAACTTATCACTTCTACCTTTCCCTGTCAGAGATGAATGAGATATTTTACTTTTTTTCTGCACAGTGTGACATTTGGTTCTTTTCAGTATCCTAATGCCTACCCCTTTGTTTTTATTTACATGTTGTTTTTCAGAAAACCAAAAAAGAGATTGCAATATTAAAATATTTCATATCTTCACTGCATGTAGAAGAGGGAGATTGAAATAGCTTTTTGGTCCCTTCTCAATTCTTTTTTCTTGATATGATGGACCTAGTTTAACCCAAACATACTTGGAATAATTATTGTAGAGTTACAAATTCAATATTAGGAAGTTACATCTAATTTATTAAAGGTGTAGTTTTGAGTTGGCAGGAAATCTCCTTATGTACTGACTTATGAACCCATTCACTGATGACATATTCTGATTGGCTGAGAAAGACTTCTTGAGATTTAAGCTGGTTTTAGAATTTATTTAATTAGTGCTTGTAAATCATTAAATAATGTAAACATGTATAAAAATATCATATTTAACCCTTAATGTATAATATATACAGTTATTATTTTTCAATTAAAAATAAATTTTAAAATGTTTTAGAAAGTGGTAGGTACTTTTATACAGCTAAGGTTCAACCTTGCAATCTTTCTAAAGTATATTCATTAAAAAATTGCTACTAATTTAGAAATTTATTAAAATTTAAATCTTACATTGGAATCATTTGTTATACAAAACAGTATATCATTAAGCAAAATCAAAACCCCTTACTGCATTTTATTTTGTCAAAGATTAGTGTGCACCAGATAATTAAGGAGAGATTTTGTACAGCCTATTGCCATAGGGAAAGCACTGCAGATCTGAAGATTAGTGTCCTGGCAGGGTGATTTTTGCCTTAGACATTCATAGGGAGGAGTAGACAATTTTCAGGTGGTGTGATTTAGAGTTGTGACTGCTTTACAATCAAGGGAAGTCTCAGTCATTTAGCTCAACAGGAAATGTTTATCTGTGTGTCTGGCTAGTTTCAAGGGGACAAATAGTTCAAATCTTAGCTAATCACTCTTGAGACACAGAATAAGAATTTAGAGGGTCTCTCTTTGGTCTTTTCTAACCAGATATTAAAGGAAGTCATATGCAAATCTTATAGGAGTCAGTAAAAGAGTGTACTATGAGTCTTATTTGAATTTTATGGGGAAATGTGGTTCTTTATGGAAAGATGTTTCCTGAATGCAAAAGCCTGGATTTGTTGTTGTTGTTGTTGTTGTTGTTTTGTTGTGTTTTTTGTTTTTTGTTTTTGTTTTTTTTTTGAGACCTTGTCTCAAAAACTTCGCCTAGGCTGGGGTGCAGTGGTGCAATTATGGCTCTCTGCAGCCTCCACCTCTCCAGGCTCAAGTGATCCTCCTGGCTCAGCTTCATAAGTGCCTGGGACTATAGACGTGAGGCACTGTGCCCACCCTGGCTGGGGAAATTTTAGAAGACAAAAATTTAGGGGCAGATTTCCTAATTATCAGTGTGTATTGGGAAAATAGGGATTGAGTAAAGTTAAATATTGTCATATTTTACATGTGAATTCCACATTCCTGACATAAATATATGTCATCACAGTAATACATTTTCATCACTTCTTCCCAGATGCTGCTTGTTTCACAAAACTGAGTCAAAATTTAAATTTTGGAGATTTGGGGCTATAAAGAAATGTTCGAAGGGGTTAATTTTCCAGAAACATATCTCGTTTTATCTGGTATTTGCAGGAATATCAAGCTGTTTGCTTTATGTTTATGGTAGAAAGAAACATTATTTTAGTATAGTTAGTATTTTATTGTCTTTTATTTGATTTATTTTCCATGATAAACTGTAGAGTTTTACTAATCATTATTAGAGCACACTCCTACCGAATATTATTAGTTCCCTGGTTGAAACAAAATAGTAGCTTGCTTAGGAAATGATTTTACAGTGTTTACTTAAATTTGAACTGTTTATATGTTGTTCATTAAATATGAATCAAATGTTTCAGAATATTATTGTTTTACTACTTTTTGAAAGCTTGACAAGAAATCTTCTATAATAGTTCAGTAAAATTACATACAGTCTTATGTTCGATCAAGCTGTGCATGCTCCCATTCTGTGTTGATGAACATCCTTCTATTTTAGGGGAAATTTCAAATAAAAACTGAATTTGAGCTTTTTTTCTGAGTAACTTCTTGCCCATAACCCTGGGCTGGTTGCCAAGTAATAATGTGATTGCTTTACAGTCAGTGAGAAGTAATTCAGTGGCGTTTTCCCATTTGTAATGCCTCTCAATGAGGAATAAGGTTGTTAGGCAACAGATGACATCAGGTAGGAGCAGGAAAAAGACTTCTGAGTTAAGAATTCACACCAAAAATCACTCTATTTTCTATATTGAGTCAATTTTTAAACTGCTGTCTGGAAACAATTTTAGATTTAAATATTGTAAGAACAGTACAGAGAGTTTCTGTGTACCTTTCACTCAGGTTCCCCTAATGATAACATTTTATAAATGTTATATAGTGTAATTTAAAAACAGAAAATTGAATATTATAAACCAAACTATCTGATTTTTTTTTTCAGATTTCACCAGTTTTTGTACTTACTTATTTCTTTTTCCTTTGGGTTTTTCATGGTGGTTGTTACAAAATGCTATGAAATATTATCACATGTATAGATTTGTATAACCCCCACCAAAATCAGGATAGAAAACTGTTCTGGTGCTCCAGAGAAACTCCCTCATGCTACCTGTATGTAGTTACTCCCTCTTCCTAATCCTGATCCCTGGAAACCACTGATTTTTTTTCTCTATCACAAATTTTTTTTATTTTAATAGGCTAAATAAATGAAATCATAAATTATGCAACCATTGAGAATGACTTTTTATAAAAAAATTGTTTTGAAAAATTTAAGACTCATAAAACTTTGCAAAATAAATACAGATAATTTGCATTACACAGTTTCCTCAATGATGACATTTTACATAACCATCGTATATTATCAAAGTCAAAATATTGACATTGGACCAGTATTATCAAGTAAACTACAAAACTTAATTGGATTTCATATTTTTACACATATTTTTAAAAAGTTTAATTCTATGAAATTTCATCATAGATATGGATTAATATAATTACCACCACAATCAAAATAGAAAAATGTTTCATAATCTCAAATCAGCCTTTTCACACTCTCCCCACTAAACCTAACCCCTGGCAATCATGGGTCTGTTTTAGACTTTTATCATTTAAACTTTTCTAGAACTTAGCATAAATGTAATCATATAGTATGTACTCATTTTTGGTTCAGTTTCTTTCACTTAACATAGGGCCCTTGAGATTCATTAAAGTATTTGCTTATATCAATAGTTTATTCCTTCTTATTCCTGAGTAGGATTACTTTGCACAGATGTACCACCTCTTTTATACCTCACTTACTTGGTAAAGGACATTTAAATTGCTTCTAGTTTTTCACTATTAAAAACAAAGCTGCTATGGAAATTCATGGATGGGTTTTTAATATGACCGTGAGTTTTTATTTCTCTATTATAAATACCCAGGATTATATGATATGTGTATATTTAAACTTATGAGAAACTTTCAGACTGTTTTCCAGAGAGGTCACACCATTCTTATTCCCATTAGGAGTATGTGAAAGATCCAGTTGGTCTGTATCCTAACACCAGGATTTGGTAGTGTCAGAATTTATTAATTTAGCCATTCTAATACATTTATGGTGTTATTTCATCATAGCTTTAATCTGCATTTCCTTAATGGCTAGTATTTTTCTTTTCATGCGATTTTTTTTGCCTTTTATGTATCTTCTATGATTAAATGTCTGTTTAAGACTTCTGCCCATTTTCTGATTGAATATGAGTTCCTTACATATTCCTTACATATTCCAGAAACAAGCCCTTTGTAACATAAGCAATTTGCAATATATTTTCTGCCAGTCTGTGGCTAGTCTTTTCAACCTATTAACAGGATATTTTACAGAACAAAGTGTTTCAATTTTAGTGAAGTTTAATTAATAAATATTTTCTTTTGTAAATTGTACATTTGGCATCATGTCTAAGAATGTGTCACCTAGCCCAAAGTAACAAAGATTTTCTCCTGTGTTTTTGTCTAAAAATTTTAGTGTTAGGTTATTTATATCTCTAATTTATTTTGAGTTAATATTTTATACAATTTGTAAGTTTAGACTGAGGCTTATTTTCTGCCTAGGGATGTCCAATTATTTCATTTGTTAGAAAACTATCCTTTTTACATTGAATTGCTTTTGAATCATTGTCAAAAATCAGTTGTGAGTACTTTGGTTTGCCTATTACTGAACTTCCTATTTTGCTCCACTGGTATTTGTGTCAGTCCCCCTACTCATGCTTCTTTTACACTTACTGTAAAGTATGTAGAAAGTCTTAAAATCCAGTAATGTGATTTCTCAAACCTTATTATTCATTTTCAAATTGTTTTAACTCTTCTATAGTTCCTTTGCTTTTTATATAAATTTCAGAATTACTTTGTATATATCTACAAAAATATCCTAAGTTTTTGATACAAATTGATAGAATACTATAGGTTAGTTTTGAGAGAATTGTATTATTGATCATGTTGCATCTTCCAATCAATGATCATGGTGTATCCCTACATCAATTTAGGTCATTGTTGAATTATTTCATCAGTGCTTTATAGTTTAAGGTATACATGTACTGTACAAGTTTTGTTAGACTTATACTGAAGTTTTCCATTTTGGAGAGTTATTTAGTAACTTTAAAATGTTAATAACAATAGCTCATTACTACTCTATAGAAATATACTTAATTTTTATGTCATGGTCTTATATTCTGTGACCTTGCTAAGTTCACTTACTAGTTCTAGGATATTTTTTTTTCAATAGATTCTTTGGGACTTTCCATATAGACAAATCATGCCATCTGTTAAAATAGGAACAGTTAACATTTCTTTCTTTTCCAATAAATTTCTCAATCTGTATGCCTTTAATTTCTTTTTCTTGCCTTATTGCAGTAGCTAGAACTTCTAATACTACTTAAATAGGAATGATGATAGTCAACATCTTTGCTTTTCTCCCAATTTAGGGTGGAAAGTACTTAGTCTTTCATCTGTAAGTTTGATGGTAACTGTGTATTCTTGATAGATACTCTTTATCAGATTGAAGAAGTTCCATTCTGTTCTCAGTTTGCTGAGAATTTTATATCAGTGAGTATTGCATTTTGGCAAATGTTTTTTCTGCATCAACTGATATAACTTTTTGTCTTTTTTTCTTTATACTCTTAATGTGGTAAGTTTTCAAATACTAAACCAGCTTTGTATTCCTGAAATAAACTGCCTTTATCATTGTATGTAATTAATTTATCTATAATCTGGATTCTATTTGCTAGTATTTTGTTGAGGATTTTTATATGTATGTTCACAGGGATTATTGGTTTGTAATTTTGTTTTTTTGTATTGATGTTATCTAGCTATGGTATTAAGGCAATGCTGGGCTCACTAAAAGAATTGACAAGTGTTATCTATTTACTGGATAAAATTGTGTCAAATTGAGGTCATTTCTTAATTATGTGTTTGATAGAATTTACTATTGAATCTATTTAGGCTGAGTGTTTTTTTAAAAGCTTTTTAACTAGATACTCAATTTTGTTAATAAAGATTATTCATGTTATCTATTTTTATCTTTGATATATTTTGATTGTTCATATTTTTTGAGGAATGGTGCATTTTTTTTTATTCCAATTGGATAATTTCTATTGATTTGTCTTCCAACTGGCTAATTCTTTCCTCTGTCATGTTCATTTTGCTATTGAACCAATCTTGTGAGTTTTCAATTTTTCTTACTGTATTTTTCAGTTCTAAATTTTCACCTTCGTTTTTCTTTATATCTGATATTTCTTTGTCAAGATTTTCTATATTTTCATTTGATTCAAATAATTTCTAATTTTTTATCAGAGTATTTTTATGATACAGATTTTAAAATCATCATCAGATAATTGCAACATCATGTTGTAATTAGATACATCTTGCTTTGGTGTCTGTTGATTTTCTTGCTCAAATTGATATTTTCATGGTCGACATGGTAAATGATGTTTAATATATTCTGGAAATTTTAAGTTGTATATGATAATATTTCCTATTTATATCTGCTAAAGCAGGTGATATGCCTGTTAAAGTTCAGAGTGCATGTCCTGGCCAACTTTTGTGGGCCGTAGTTTAAATGTTAATTGAGATTTCAAAACATTTACAGTGCTCTTCTGGTCTCTTCTGTTTATGTGCTTTTCATTAATGACCAACTTGAAATCTTGGCAATATTCTGCACCATCGTTCAGTTCTCATACATTTTGCCCTGTGATTCTGGTTGGTTTCATGCATGGCCGCTCTGGAGTTTGCCCAGAACTTCATATACAGGATCTCTTTCTGAAGCTCCCTCTTCTTCCTATACATAGCCTCTATTTTCTAATTAGGTGGGAGTTGGTTGCTTCATCTTTGCTGTCACTCAGCTAGTGCAAGATTAGGATAGTAGCAGCGCTCTACTTCATGAGCTCCACAGCACATGACAGGAAGGAAAAAGAGTGCTGCTTCTTTTCTGATGCTTAGTTCAGCGTTGGAATGATCACATCGCTTTTTTACTCCACAGTCTTCCTAGTCACAATGCTCACTGTGGATGGGAGGGAAAGCACATCTGCTCATGCTATTGCAATGTGGAGATGATTGGTAGGACTCTAACACACAGTTGGCAGAGTGCACAGTGGGGAGAGATAGGGATACTGCCTCCTTTGTGCAAAATAGGGATGAAAGACAAGCTATTGTTCAAAGTCTGGGGCTGGAGGATGCAGTAGGGAAACAGAGAGGTGCAGCGTTTTCTTGGAGGGAGTACATAGTCAAGAGGGTTATGTCTCATTAGCCATCCTTTTCTGTGTGTATATATATGATAATGGGAGCAGATAAAACAACAACAACAAAACCCCCACAAGGATGGTATATATACCCCCACAAGGATGGTGTATATATATATGCATACATATATATGCGCATACATATATATGTACCATCCTTGTGGCGGTTTTGTTGTTGTTGTTTTATCTGCTCCCATTATCATTTATGTTTTGTGGGTTTCTCCAGTACCCAGGCAGAGATACATAGGAGGAAAAAACAAACAAAACACAGACAATTCACTTCCCCCTTATTCCTCAAGTCATAAAATCTCTAGCTAGTTTGCTTTCTTTTCTGGACTTTTAAGGTACTCTGATATTTACTTATTTTTTCTGAGATTTTTTGTTGTAATTCATAGAAGGAATAAGGGACTAACTTTTTTGGGGGAGGAAAACATCCTATGTTCAGTCAATTTTTAAGGCCAGACTTTTAGTTCTAGTCTCATTTTCTGTTTTTCAGCATTAGCTAAATATGTTCTGAGTACTCTATTAGCTCTTGCGGGCAGTTAGAAAGGAGAAGTAGACTTAGTTCTAGCCCCTCCGTCTATTATGATCGAGTTCGGATAAAATATATCTACTGAAAACCTTATGTGTACCAGACACTGTTCTAAACTGGGGGTGAATTATCGTGGTCTAATTGGGGAACAGAAATTCAAACACACAAACTCATTATGAAAAATTTTTTTTAAAAATTATTGAAACAATGAGAATTTATCTTTTTATATATGTACAATTAAGAGAAGGCATAACAACCCTGTGAAAACTGAGTAGTTTCACAGTTAGGTAGAAATTTGATTGACTAATTGGGAAGTGGGACAAAGTGGAAAAATACAAATTTTCACACAATAAATCTACAAATTCACATAACCAGTAAAGCCCATATAGAAATATACTTGTTAACTAAGCAATTAAATTGATATAAAGAAGAAGAAAATAAGAAATAAGAAAAATGAGGGAAAACATGTTGTGATTTGGTTTTATTGAGCAGTATTTCAGGTGATAAGATCAGTCATAGAGAAAGGTGAACTATATGAATTCAGGGCATTACACACATGTGGAGAAATGTCATATGATTTTCTTACTATGGAGATGGTCAAGTACCTTATTTTAAAAATGGATGAGAATCCCATTAAAACAATTTTCAGTTTACATGAGAGGGAAATATGGAGATAGTAAAATTAAATATCAGTGTAATATCTATATAATACCATGCTCACTAGTGAATATGACAGATTGAAAAGAAAAGAGAAACAAAAGTTAAAGAAAGACAAGGTAGTAACTCAAAGATAACATCAGAGTCACTCTGACAAAATGACTCTGAGGTGACATGGCTATTTCTTTTTATAAGATCTGATAGAGGAAAAATGATTACAAATATTCTTTAAGGAATATAGTTTTTAAAAATTAAAAACAAATGAAAACAATAATTAACTCTTAAGGGACTTAGAAACTATTTCTTATAAAGAAAGTATAATTTATTTCTAAAAAAGTAATGTTATTTGGACCCTATCCATATTGGAAATTAGTTCAATTATAATGAACGAAGGCCAAAATCAACTTTTAAGAATTATTTTCAGTTTGTTTAAAACATATATTGATTCCTTAATATTTGAGTACCTGATGACATGAACATTCACAATTTTAGAAAGGCCAAATTTGCCACTCTAAACAAGAGAAAACTTGTCACAGCCAGACGCAACATTCTTAACTCTACCTGGCACCTAAAAATGTTAGGAGAAAGACAATGATTCCTGGAAGGGACATAGCTTTTCTTGGCATTTTGTGGGAACATCTGCTAATGCTGAAGATGGCTATCGATGAAACGAGAGGGACCTACAATGCTTTGAACGTGTGTCTGCTCTAAAATTCATGTTGAAACTCCACCATGCTTAGCATGTTACTGCCATCTTCATAGTCCAAAAATGGTTGTCATGAATTTTATCATTGTTTCCTTTGTCCAGGCAGAAAATGGGAGAAGGATGAATGGAAGAAGTGCAAGCAACTAAAGGGACATAACGCTAAGGCTATTCATCTTAAAAAGCTTTCCCAGAATCTCCCCAGGGATGTCCACTTAGATCTTCCTGGCCATAAGTGGGACATGTGGTAATGAAGTCAAGGATTGTTAGAGTGCTAGCACTCCCACCACTGTGGAAGATAAAAGTAAGGGAGAAGAAACTATTCATTGCTTTCTTTTGAATAGAACAAAGCACAGAATATGCCCCAGGAGATGGGGATTTGATATCGTCAAGTGGTTGATATAGAGTGAATTCATCCTAAGAACAGTATAGTTGACCTCAGTGCCCTTGAATATTCAATGTGGTTTGCATAACAAGAATACACAAAATCTCCATACCTCTTCTGGAATATACTTTATTTTTCTGAGCCTATCTTCTGGTCCAAAAACTTAATCTAATCTCTTCACCCTGAGCCTCCTATTTTTGCTTATTTATTCTTCAGATTTATCCTCAATTCTTGTTTTTAGAGTCTGATTTTGGCTTTTTCTGAAATTTACTTTCTGTCTGTCTAGGAGAATTTGATCTCTAGTATCTTACCTCATCACTTCCCAGCTTTTGTAGTATTTTGTTCTGTTTTTCTCTATGTGGTTGTTGCTTTTAATCTCTCTGTGTGGCTTTCTCGATTAAGCTGCAATTATGGCCACTAGTGGCTCCCAGGCTCACATCTTTTCTGTGCATCACTACAAAGGAAGTACTCTATTTTTAAACAATTCTTGTTTGAAATATCATAGAGAAAGACACTTTTAACATTGTCTGGGTCACATGCCCATGTCAGAAAACATGAGTTGTATGGTTAATTCTACCGTGAAATGAGTATGAATGCTGCCACAATAATTTCCCTAAAAAAAAAAAAAAATCCTGGGGTATTTCTCAGCAGAATCAGAGAAAAACATTAACAGGATTTGAAAAATGATGCACATTATTCTACCATATGAGGTTCAATTTATTTTCTTTGTCTGTATTTATAAAAATGATACACAATTTTTGTGGTTGGTAAAATGGCTTGAAACTATTTCTAAAATTTTGGTTTAGCTCTCAATTAACAATAAGTCAATTAAGTATTTCATAAATTGTTTCAAATTTCACAGGGCAGTCTCCTCTATCAAATCAGATTCTATGTTTTTTAACTATAGAGAGTAGGACTGTGTTTAAAGATGACAAGGAAAAAAAGATGATGGAAATACATCTTACGTCAGATGAATAGAAACATCAAGCAATATGGGTCTGCAACCTCTTAGGTCCTGTTCTGTAGTGGAGATAATAGCCATGGGTCCAGACCCTGATTGCTCTAAAAAGAAGAGAGAAACGATAAAACATATTTTACACTTACTAAAATTGTGAGGTACAATATGGCCTTTTATCTGATAATATTGGGTTTGAATGGGCCTGTTAGAATTTTCTGCATTTTCCAGCACACTCTACCCAGAGTTATAGTTCCATTTTGACCTTCATTTTTAGGCTGTGACTATGATTTAGCAAAATGTATTTTCATTTAGTTCCAGTTCAATCTCATTATCTCTGAGAATGAGTGTTACTGCAGTTTGATTGAACAAGTAGTATTTGATGATTTTCATTCCAGGTGGACAGTAAATAATAAATACAGTGTATTACTGTTGAAAGTGCAAATGAAAGATGTTACCAGATGCAGAGGAATAGTAACACGTTTTATCTGAAAGCAATAGCACCTTAACATTTGTGTAAAACAATTGTTAACAAACCAATTCCACCTATATCATTTAATTCTTAGAGTGTGTTAATGGGGTATGAAATATTTCCTTCATTTTAAAGAAAAGAAAATCATTACCAGAGATATTTACATGACTTGCTTAATATCCTTAGCCATTAATTGTAGCCAAGAAACTCAAATCCAAGACTTCTGATTCTAGTTCAGCCTTTTCTTAATACCACAATTGCTTATTTGAACATAGAAGAAATATTCTCTGCCTGCTCCATGACAATGATAAGATGATAGGACTTGGAGTAAAGGTGCAATGTGATTATCTTTATGATAGGATCAGAAGGTAATATATTCATTCATTTCAATAATATCTGTCATGAATCTACTACAAGCTTTATCTCTAGTACCTAGCAGAATGTCTGATACGTATTATAGGTAATATAAGCAGATATGTAAGATTAATAAATGAGCAAATGAGTCCTACATCAAGCAAGCATCATACTACACTGATGATACAGTGGTAAGATAAAGACCCTGCTTTCGAGAAACTTGCTTGTTAGCAGGAGATACGTGAATATCAATAAGAAAATGTCATATAGAGTGAAAAGTACTGAAGTGAAAAATAAACAAGATGTTCTGAGGCATATAAATGGTGGATAAGTTGAACAAATCTTCAGTGAACAGGTGATACTTGAGGTTGACCATGAAGGACTAATCAGATCTTCCGTCATAGAGAGAGGAAGCCTCACACTCAGAAGTGATGTGTGAGAGAATATAGGAAGTTCCATGTGAAGTGGTGCTTCAAGCAGCCTAGGTTGGGGAGCTTAGGATGAAACACAGGACTATGGAATATGATTGGCACCTAGAGAAAAACATTGTTTTGTGTCCCCTGATGACAACTGAATTTGTTTTTTAGAACATTGACTCTCGTGGCAGCAGGGGGAATTGATTGGAGTAAGAAGAGCTGTGAGCCAGAGAATGAATTCCTGAACCAGCCCAAGAAGGTGAAAGTGAGGAACAGATTCTAGAGATGACTAGGGAATAGCAGGAGCTAATCCACTTCTGTGAGACTCTCTCTAAGAAAAAGTGCTCAAAATTACAAATACAAAATTAAGTATGAAAGCAAGTATTTGTTTATAATGAGGAAGTAAATAATAAAACATTACCAACTTTAGAAGGCTAACAGGGCCAGGTGCGGTGGCTCATGCCTGTAATCCCAACACTTTGTGAGGCTGAGACAGGCAGATCATGAGGTCAGGAGTTCGAGACTAGCCTGGCCAACATGGTGAAACCCCCATCTCTACTAAAAATACAAAAATTAGTGGGGTGTGGTGGTGGGTGCCTGTAATCCCAGCTACTCGGGAGGCTGAGACAGGAAAATTGCTTGAACCCAGGAGGCAGAGATTACAGTGAGCCGATATCGCACCAGTGCACTCCAGCCTGGGCAACAAGAGCAAAACTCCGTCTCAAAAAAAAAAAAAAAAAAAAGGGGGGGGGCTAAAAAATACTACAAACTTCAGATAATCCAGAAAAATAACAGAATAGCTATAGATTAATAACTATAATAATACAATAATAGTTAATAGGTAATTGAATTACCTTCTTGACAAATCTCCATATATTATCCATATAAAAATGTTTTGGACATATACTTTTTAATATCTTCATATGAAAATGATTTTATAATACTATTTTCCATAGAGAGGTCAGAAAGAAATCAAGACTTTTTCTGCTACGATTGGTTAAAAAATTTACTGATAGTTTGGATGCAAAAAATATGGTTTTACACCAAGTTGTATCTGTTACTTATAGTACTGCTACTGGTTGCTCCCTGCCAACACAGAATTTCTGATAAATTTAACTTTAAGCACTTTTCATCAAAAGAAGGAAGAAAAAGAGCATGGCAGGTTTATAATTATGCATCCTGCATTATAAATCATATTTCTAACCAGAAATACTTTCATTTTGATTAGGCACTTATGAAAACCAAATATTCTTTTTATAATGTGTATATATATATTTAATGATTGGAAGATTTTTCCACATATTAGCTACTGGTTCTGCACATTTTAAACAATATTTCTCCTTTATTCTCATAGTTCCAGTGACAGATGGGAGAGGACACCTTCATACAGCAGTAAATTTTTGGCCATTCTCCTTCCTCCTGTGTTGCTGGGTGGGTCAGCACAATGAGTGGTAGGAGTACTTCTGGAAGCCATTCCTACAGCAGGGATGCTAGCAATTATGAAACCATTCCTAGAAGTGTCTGAAAACCACAACATATTCCAATAAACCAAAAATGAAGTATTTCCAACTCAGTTGCCCCTTAGTTGGATTCCAAACATGCTTTGTGGTCACCCTTACATTACCCAACACGAAGGGAAGTGTGATGGAGCAGCAATCACTGTGGAGACAGTCATCTTAACTGATGGTGATTCTAACTTTTGAAAGTTTTAGAAAAACATATATACATGTGAACACATTGGCAGGGACTCTCTCAGAGCTTGGGAAGGAGATCCATGCACAGAAGGGGCTTCCGGTTTATACTATGTTAGCTTATGGTGAACATGTCTCTAGGAAATAGAGCCCACTTCTGGGGACTGGTTGGATATGAATGAAGGATGAGAGAAACAGGAATCTAGGAAGTCTGGCAGATTTTTCTAGCTTGTATTCCATGTTGAATGATAATATGGTAAACAACAACAACAAAAAATAGAATGACCACTTTTCAGGCTTGATTGTCCTATTTTTAGTATTAAAAATCTCACATTCTGGGGAAACACCTCTTCAGGAAGCAAAAATCTCAGTTTTTAGGTAAGGAAGGTTGCAGGGAAGTGCCATACTGAAAAGGCAGCCCCAAAAATAGTAACTGAAAGAAAGCCGTTTTTAGTGTCAAATGAATACCAGTATAGATTATCTGTCTTTCATAGTTGTTGCCGTTTTTACCTCTGATCACTAATGTTTGCAGCTATGATTGGCAGTTCTCCAAAATGGTTCATGCTTGGTTGGATCACTCCAAGTGACACAATTTGTGTGAAACCTTAGTGCACTGTAATCACGAACATTAACAATCTGTCTTTGGCTTTGCCCGTGGATTAACTTTTGTGCTTTGTATTGAGATACTGCTTGTGAAAAAAAACAAAGACAATCCAAATAAGAACAAACAGAGGCCATTTAATCAGAGCTTGATAAAGCAAGGGAGTCAGCCACCATCACTTGCATTTGGTAGACTCAAAGGCAGACAAGGGAGCTTTGTAGTGGATAAAAGGGGAGACTTCAGTTATACCTTGATAAGAGGTTATTGGCACAAAGAAGCTGGAAGTAAATTAACTAGCAGTTGGGCATAGTATATAATTGGTTTGGGAAGTATATTTGGCTCTCTCTGATTGGTGCTGAGGTGGAAGTCAGGGCAAAAATTAGGAAAGTTGGCAGTGAATGACTAAGTCTTGACAATTCTGGGCTGATTCCTGCGGAGCTTTTGGATTAAAATTCTATTGTCTTATATGGTCTGACCCTTTTCTATTTGTACATTGTCCCTCAAGACAGTTTAATTTTAACATTGTAAATTTTATGACCATATTTTCCAAGAACCTAGATAATGAAAATAAAAGCAATTACAATACCAACACCAGTATTACCCATATATCCCCCTAAAAGAAGGCTTAATAACTTTGTTACATTAATGGCAAATGGAAAAACACATACAGCTGCATTAAGGAAATAAATAACCAAAACAAATTATTTTGCAGATTATGCAAAAAATAATTTGGGATTGGGAATGGTGGAGTAGGGGATGGGGAAACATAAGGTTAGCATAAGACAGGTAAGTACTGCTAAATCATTCAAAAGTTTTTATTTTTATTTCCCCCAAAATACCAATGGTCAGTTGAAAACAGTGGCCACTGAATTACCTTAGGCATATCCCAGTAATGAACATGCATTATCATATTATTCCCTTGATGGTTGTATGAAACTGTGTTAATTACTTGGCCTGATTCAGAAGTTGCATCTAAAATGTCCTGTTGGGGAAAAAATAGGGGATTTTGATAACAGATGCATTGGCCTCTTATGGGGTAGATCTGATTCTGTCAGATCTTAGCAAAGATTATGTTTTCTACAGTGGGTCAAGGGAGGTGCATGGAATCACAGTAGTAACAAAATGTTTCTTTTAGTACATAGACACTTTAATTTGAAAAATTAAGTTTCAAATAGTGTTCTTAATTTGTATGAATATTTTAATGAAACTTTGGAAAAGACTTGCTCCTATATCCACATATTCAGTAGACGATGAAAATAAAAATGTTGGCAAATTCCATTCAGTCAGTAAACTCCTTATCAAAGAAAGTAAAAAGATCTTGCCAGCTAAATGTCCTCGTTACCTTCTACAACATGTAGATTAAAAGGTGTGTGATCTGCTTGCGTGCCATATTAGGGCTTTCATAATGAAAGTTTTTGGTCATTTTTAGTGTCCTCAAATATGAAGAAGCACATAATTATATTTTTGATTGTATAGGTATAGAAGGAAATAGCTTCATTAGGCATGTGCCTAAAAGATGGCTATCATTGTTGCTTGACATGGAAAAGATATTAAAATGGTGGCCTTCCATAAAATTATAATTTCCAACTGTGGAACAAGAAAAAAATCCTTCTCTAATTTGGAGACATATGAGAGTAAAAATAGATAAAAGGATTACAGTAAAGCAGAAATGTATATGCTGTTTCCTAAAAATATTTGATAATCTTTGACAAGACCATAAGGCAACTAGAAAAAGATGAACTGACTACACCTGAGTTTTGTAAGGTTACATGTAGGTTGCAACAAAAACTCATATAGAGAATATGACTCATTTTTAGAAATAAGACTCCTTCAGAATGCAAAAAGATGTTACCAGAAAAAGGCAATGAGTTAAACATAGCTTTTCAAATTTCATTACTAAAACTGCAACTTATTTAGAACCCAATTTTGATTTAACAAATTCAAATTACCTCTGTGCCTTAAAATGATTCCCTGAGAAACAGGTTACCTTATGAAAACATTCAATGTGCTTTGAAATGTTTAAATTATCGACATTTGAAACAGGAGACTATATGACAAATAAATACATGCAAAGGACCTGATTGATTCATAGCTGGATTACATGAACAAGCCTGTAGGTATAAAGGAGGAGGACATTTTAGGACAGCTGGAAACAAATCCCTATGCATGTGAATTCTGCTTTTGCTATTAAGTAAAATCTTAAATAATCCATGTTCAAACACTTTTCTTGCGAGGTTACTTTGTTGATGTCATCACATTTGTCTGACACAAGGAGTCAGTGTAATTGAGCTTGATAAGAACATAGTGCTAGTCAAAGAGAACTTTCTGTTTGGTTGTATTCAGTTTTACTACTACATGAAAGAACAGAGCTAGTCATCTATGCTGCAGGCAGCTGAGATAAATGGCACTGGAAAAGGAACACAAAAATATTCTACTGGCTCACAGGACAGAAAAAAACATGTCAATGTTATTTTTATTAAAAATAGGTAATGTCTGTTTATTTAATCTGCATTTTCTTCTTTTAAAATGTCCTAATTAAAGGCTCTTAAGAGTACATAATCAGTCAGAGCTAAGATGGCTGAGTAGACACAGCCATAAAGAGCTTTTCCCATTGAGAGAGACCAGATCATCAAGTAGAGGAGGATACTCCAAATATATCTTCAGTAAAAAGACATTGAGAGTGGACAGAGGGTGGATACAGACTCAAGGCTGAAAGAGAAGAGAGCTGGGAACCCTACAAGAGGTTGCCAAGCATCAGGACTTGTTCCTGGCCCCCAGCTGCTCCTAGGGAAGGGCTGAGTGAAATAGGCCTGGAGTGGTCCACTCTCACCATTGATCTCTGGGATTCTAGCTGAAGGAGACCCCAGGACCCCCAAGGACATCTGAGCTGGCAGAGAAAACTGCCTGGAGAGTTGGTAGAGACAAAACTCCTGCATTAATCAAGCCCAGAATATTTGACACAGGAACAGCTGCAGTGGAGCATGGCCATGGGTGCCCATCCCACAAAGTTCTCCATACTCCATTAGGCAGCTTTAGACTTTATTAGCTGCTGGCATTGGACAGAGCAAGGCTATGCTTCCTGTGGGATGGGGTCTGATATTACTTGGCTGTGTTGCCACCCAAATCTTGTCTTGAATTATAGTTCCCATAATCCCCACATGTTCTAAAAGGGATCCAGTGGAACACAATTGAATTATGTAGATGGGTCTTTCCCATGCTGTTCTTGTGATAGTGAATAAGTGTCATGAAATCTGATGGTTTTATAAAGCAGAGTTCCTCTGCACATGCTCTCTTGCCTGCCACCACGTAAAATGTGCCTTTGCTCCTCCTTCACCTTCTGCCATGATTGTGAGTCCTCCCTAGCCATGCAGATCTCTGAGTCCATTAAACTTTCCTTTTATAAATTACTCAGTCTTGGATATGTCTTTATTAGCAGCATAAGAACAGACTAATATAGGGCCAGTCTGATCTGAGCAACCCTCTGTCTGCTGGTCTCTCCCAGTGTCCCTGCCTGGCCTCATCCACTTACAGCACTACCCCAGCATCCCAGCCAAAGTGCTTTCCAGTGGCCACCACTATAGCTTCTTTGCCAGGAGAACCTACCTACCGATTCGAGCACTTTTGCACATATTTTTGGAGACCCCAACCAGTATGCACCCACTTACAGCCTTTCCCCACTGGTACACACTCATCCACAGCCTCATCCTGCCACCTTATTAGCATGCATATGTGCATAGACCCCTTGCTGCCCTGCTGGCACACACATGCATACATGAATGGAGAGTCGCACTGCTCCTCCAGCACACATGTACATGGGGACTCATTGTTGACATGCATGTGTGTGAGGACCACTACCACCTTGCTGGTGCACACATGAGTAGGGAAATGGCGACTCACCACTGCCCTGCTGAGGAGCTTTCGTCAGTAGCCCCTGTTGGAGTGTTGCTAGGTTAACTTTGACAAGCCAGAGATCAAAGCCATGGACCTGGTTCCAGCCCCCAGGGTTAGAGCATATAGCCTAGGAGTGCTAAGCTGAGATTCTGGTCCCCTGAATGTATCCAGAAACAAAACCAATGGACCAAACCCAGCTTATACTACAGTCAAACCCTCAAAGGCATTAAAGAATATACAAGAAAAAAAAAAGGCCACATCCGAAAGACAACAACTTCAAAGATTAAAGTAACATCAGCCTACACAGATGAGAAAGAACCAGTGTAAGAGCCCTGGCAACTCTAAAAGTCAGAGTGTCTTCTTGCATCCAGGTGACTGTACTGGCTCCCAGCAATGTTTCTTAACTGGACCAAAGTCTGGTTATCTGGAAGATAAGGAAGCTCATCAAGATACAGAAGAAGGTTGGAACTCAATCAAAGGAAAACAATAAAACCATCCAACTGTTGAAAGACAACATAGACATTTCAAGAAAGAAAGAACCAAATTTAACTTCTGAAAATAAAAATTTCACTACAGGAATTTCAGAATACAACTGGAAGCATTAATAACAATACAGCAAGCTGAGGAAAGTATCTCAGAGCTCAAAGACTGTTCATTTTAATTGACACAGTCAGACAAAAATTAAGACAAATAAATTTTAAAAGATGAATAAAACTTCTGAGAAATATGGGATTATGTAAATGCACAAAACCTACAACTCACTGGCATTCCTGAAAGAGATTGAGAGAGAGAGCAAGCAACCTGGAAAACATATTTGAGGTTATTGTCCATGAAAATTTCCCCAACCTTGCTAGAGAGTTTGTCATGCAAATTCAGGAAATTCAGAGAATCCCTGCAAGATCTATACAAGATCATCATCTTGGGGATCATCATCCCCAAGACACATAGTCATCAGATTCTACAGTCAATGAGAAGGAAAAAACTTAAAGCCAGCTAGAGATAAGGGGCAAGTCGTGTACAAAGGCTATCCCACCAGGCTAATAGTGGCCTTTTAGCAGAAACTTTGCAAGCCAGAAGAGACTGGGCCTATATTCAGTATCCTTAAAAAATAGAAATAGCAACTGATAATTTCATATTTAGCCAAACTAAATATTAAATTTTCATAATTGAGAGAGAAATAAAGTCCTTTTCAGGAAAGCAAATGCTAAGGGAATTTGTTACCACTGGACCTGCCTTACAAGAGGTCCTTAAAGGAGTGCTAAACATAGAAATGAAACTATGCCTGCCACCACTCTTAAGTATATTAAATATAAGCGAACATAGAAGAAATGGGTAAATTCCTGGAAACGTGCAACCTCCCAAGATTGAACCAGGAAGAAACTGAAATCCTGAACAGAACAATAACAAGTTCCAAAATTGAATCAGTAATAAAAACTCTACCAACTGGAAAAAGCCCTGGACCACAGAGATTCACAGCCACATTCTACCAGACATATAAAGAAGAGCTGGTACCAATTCTACTTAAACTTCTCCAAAAATCAAGGAGGAGGGATTCCTAACTATGAGGCCAGCATCATTCTGATACCAAAATCTGACAGACAAAATGAAAAAAGAAAATTTCAGGCCAATATCCCCAATGAATATAGATGCAAAATTCCTCAACAAAATACCAGCAAATCAAATCCAGCAGCACATCAAAAAGCTAATCCACCATGATGAAGTAGGCTTTATCCCTGGGAAGCAAGGTTGATACCACATACACAAATCAATAAATGTGATACATCACACAAATAGAAGTAAAAACATAAACCACATGATCATCTTGAAATAGGAGAGTTCCCTGACCCCCTTCGCAGGATGTGTGACAGGGGTGTGGCTCACCTGTTCAGCAACTGCATGCGTGCTCAAACACCTTACAGGAGCGGGGAGCATGCAGTCAGGTGCAGTAGCTGGGTCAAGCATTTTTGGGCTCTGGCCCCAATGGTGGTATCTACGGGGTGGGTTCCTGTGACTCCTGAAGCCATAGGGTGTGTTACAGTGCTCCTTTAGGTTTGCTGTCCACAACGGCTTAAGTGTTAACCAGCTCAGTGCCCTCTTGGTATGCGGGTCCTTTTCCAGCATCCAGGAAGAAGCAGGTCACACACGGACTTGAAGGATGGTGAATGAAGAGGTTTTATTGAGTGGTGAAGGTGGCTCTCAGTGGGATGGATGGGGAGCCAGAAAGAGGTTGGAGTGGGAAGATGGTATTCCCCTGGAGTTTGGCCATCCTGCAACGGATCTCCTCTCAGACCGTCTCCAGCTGAACTCCTCTCAACGTTCAAATGCTCCTTCTTTTCTCTCCTCTGCAGCACTGCTCTTCTGCTCCTCTGCTCTTCTGTTCATCCACTCATTTGCTCGTCTGCTCGTAAAGCTTGGGGTTTGGGGTTTATATGGGTACAGGATAGGGAAACGTGGTGGGCCAAAAGGCAACATTTGAGCACGAAAGCAAGAATGCCTGTTCCCATTTAGGGCCATGGGCTTCCAGTCTTGAGGGTGGGGTCTTTGCCGGGGAACTGCCCTCTTCTACCCGGTATTTCCCTGTCTCCTGTCCATATCAATCTCAATAGATGCAGAAAAGGCTTTCAATGAAATTGAACATCGCTTCATGTTCAAAAAAGCCCTCAACAAACTAAGTATTGAAGGAACATACCTCAAAATAATAAAAGCCATCTGTGATAAATGCACAGTCAACATCATACTAAACAGGCAAAACCAGGAGGCATGAGAACTGGAACTGAGAACTGGAACAAGACAAGGATGCCCACTCTACGACTGCTATTTAACACAGTACCGGAAGTCCTAGCCAGAGCAACCAGGGAAGAGAAAGAAATAAAAGGCATCCAAATGGGAAGAGAGAAGATGAAATTATCTCTCTTTACAGATGATGTAATTCTGTATCTAGAAAACCCCATAGTCTCTGTCCTAAGGTTATTAGAGTTGATAAACAACTTTAGTAAAATGTAAGGGTACAAAATCAATGTACAAAAGTTAGTAGCATTTCTATACACCAACAAGTACCAAGCTGAGAGCCAAACCAATAATACCACCCCATTCACAATAGCCACACAAATAATAAGATAACTAGGAATAGAGCTAACGAGGTAGGTGAAAAATCTCTAAAATGAGAGTTACAAGACACTGTTGAGAGAAATCAGAGGCAACACAAACAAATGGAAAACGATTTCATGCTCACTGAAAGTGTGAAAGGAAAATGAATCTCAGGATCCAAAATCACTAAGCCTGCCTCTCGTTCTATTCCTGAACAAGATAGTTGCTAACATAAAAAAGTTACATACCTCCCTCACAATTTATCCACAAGGAAATTCCTTGCAGACAAAGCACAGGCAGAGCTCAAAGTTATTCCTCTTTTCACTGAGATAAATGCATATCTGATTGCTTCCTTTGGAAAGGCTAGGGAGAAAGTTAAGCAATATAACTGTAGGTGTTTATCTACAAATGACCTGGAAGTCCCCTCCCCACTTTGAGTTGTCCTGCTTTTCTGGAGCGAACCAATGTACATCTTACATCTATTGATTGATGTCTCATGTCTCCCTAAAATGCATGAAACCAAGCTCTGCCCTGACCACCTTGCACACATGTCAGGACCTCCTGAGGCTGTGTCATGGGTGTGCATCCTTAACCTCGGCAAAAATAAACTTTCTAAATTGACTGAGACCTTTCTCAGTAATTTGGGGTTCACAATAGGAAGAATCAATATTGTTAAAATGGCCAGACTGTTTAAAACAATTTATAGATTCATTGCTAGCCCTATCAAATTACCAACATTATTTTTCACAGAACTAGAGAAAACTATTCTAAAATTCACATAGAACAAAAGATCTGAATAGCCAAAGCAATCCTAAGAAAAAAAAGGCTGGAAGCATCACACTATCCAACTTGAAACTATATTACAAGTAATCAAAATAGCATGGTACTGGTAAAAAAAAAAAATAGACACATAGACAAATGGAATAGGTTAGAGAACCCAGAAATAAAGCTGCACATCTACAACCATCTGATCTTCAATAAAGTCAACAAAAACAAGCAATGGGAAAAGGACTCCCTATTCAATAAATGGTGCTAGGATAACTAGTTAGCCATATGCAGATTGAAACTGAATCCCTTCCTTATATTATATACAGTGATCAACTCAAGATAGAATAAAGATTTGAATGTAAAACGTAAAACTATAAAAACTGTAGAGGAAAACCTTGGACACATTCTGGATATAGGCCTTGGCAAAGAGTGCCGGACAGATTCTCCTAAAGCAATTGAAACTAAAACAAAAATGCTGGATCTAATTAAACTAAAGAGCTTCTGCACAGCAAAAGAAACTATCAACAGAATAAACAAATAACCTAGTGAATGGGAGGAACTACTTGCAAACTGTGCATCTGACAAAGGTCTAATATTCAGGATCTGTAAGAAACTTAAACAAATTTATGAGCAAAAATCAAACCATTAAAAAATGGGCAAAGGACATGAACAGGTATTTCTCAAAATAAAACATACATGTGGTGAACAAGCATATGAAAAAAATACTTCACATCACTAATCAAGAGAGATGTGTAAATGAAAACCACAATGAGATACCATTTTACGCCAATCAGACTGACTATCATTAAAATGTCAAAAAATAACAAATTCTCATAAGGTTGCAGAGAAAAGGGATGCCTATACACTGCTGGTGGGGATATAAATTAGTCTTAGTCACTGTGGAAAGCAGTTTGATTTCTCATAGAACTTAAAACAAAACTACCATTTGATTCAGCAATCCCACTATGAATATACATCCAAAGGAATTTAGCATATTTCTACTGAAAGACATATGCACTCATAAATTCATTACAGCACTATGCACAATAGCAAAGACATGAAATCAACCTTAACACTCAACAGTGGTGGACTGAATAAAGAAAATATGGTATGTATGCACCATAGAATACTATGCAGCCATAAAAATTAAATGAGACCATGTTCTTTGCAGCAAATTGAATAAGCTGGAGGCCATTATCCTAAGTGAATTAACATGAGAACAGAAATCCAAATACCACATGTTTTCGCTTATAAGTGGGAGCTAAACACTGAGTACGTGTGGACACAAAGAGGGGAACTATAGACACTGGGGCCTATTTGAAGGTGGAGGGTAGGTGGAGCATAAAGGTCACAAAACTACCTATCAGGTACTGTGCTCACTACCTGGATGATGAAATCATTTGTATAACAAACCCCAGTGACACGCAATTTACCCACGTAACAAACTTGCACATGTACCCCTTGAACCTAAAATAGAGTTTGAAAAAGAGAATTAATTAGTTAAGGAAAACAAAATTTGTCCAAGGTGATATACATTTTGGCAATTGTATATAATTTTAATGTAGAAATTTGTCTAATAAGAGTGCAATGAAGATTACTAAAAACAAGTAGAACCATCACAAAACATATTTGTTTCTAAAAATTAAAAAGAATGTGTAAAAATGTAACTATACAATTTATATATCCAATGCAAGTTTTAAAAGAGTTAAAATGAATCGCTAAATAAGAAGACAGAAAGAAAATTGTAAATTGTAAACATATTGTTATAGTTTTTCACATATATGTTCTTACTTGTCTAAGTAGACTTGATTGCCTAATTAATTTCTTTAATTCTAATTGCCACTATTAACTAGCTCTATTGCCATTTTACTGAAATTATGGCATTTATGTAGCAGAAAGGTAAGTAATAAGTAAAACATACTGGTATGTTTTGATTCATAAATAAATAATTCTTCTGTAACTGAAAATTTGTGGAAATCTATGTGAAAATTCTTGACAATATAACTTGAAAACTGAGCTGACTGTATTTAAAGATACTCAAATTTCTGTTTTTGAATACATGGTTTTGATAAATCTATTTATAAATACAAAGATCAGAGTAAATATAGCCTCACTAAAATAATATAAACTTCTATACTGTATGCATATATATATTTGTTTTTCCTTAGAACAAATTTTAAACATTATTTTGCCTTTCCATTATGGTTTAACATTGAACTTTCTGGTTTTTCTTTTTACTTTCATACAATATCCTTTCATACAAAAGATGTTGACTATTTCTTTTACTTCAGAGAGCATCTTATTTCAACGTTTTGTCTTAAGATCCTAAATATTTTTCTTTGTTGTTGATATAGTTTGGCTGTGTGTCCCCATCCAAATGTCATATCAAATTGTAATCCCCACTTCTTGAGGGGTTACCTGGTAGGAGTGATTGGATCATGAAGATGGTTTTCCCCATGCTGTTCTCATGATAGTGAGGGAGTTTTCACCAGATCCGATGGTTTAAAATCAGCAGTTTACCCTGTGATCTTTCTCGCCTGCCACCTTGTGAAGAAGGTGCTGCTTCCCCTTTGCCTTTTGCCATGAATGTGTTTCCTGAGGTCTCCTCAGCCATGTGGAAACATGAGTCAACTAAACCTCTTTTGTTTATAAATTACTCAGTCTCGGGTAGCATCTTTATAGCAGTGTGAAAACAGACTAATACGGCAGTCAATGTTTTAAGGCTAACATTTAGCAATCCCTGTGTGATTCTGAATTAAATTATTTAAATATTCTATTTTATGAATGGGTATCCCTGATATATTTACATCTAGGCCCATTTCTAAGTGCCGAAGAAAACAGCTATGAAAGAGCAATGCTGAATGCCCCCTCATATTTTTCTTGTCCTCAGTACAAAATGATATTTTTGATATTGTGAGTATGTAATAAGTTTTCAGAGATCCTCCAAATTAACAAATTATAAATAAGTTTTATTTCAATGTTATACAGTTTATTGTTTCTGTCTTAAGCGTATATTGAGTGTCTTTGGGAACTGTATTCATAACAACTGAAAAGAAATTATAAATTCAAATCTTTATCAAATGTTGACACCTTTGTCATGTGACAATTGAATGTTGTTTTAATAAGAAACTAACACCAAATTAATTCTAGAATATACAGAAACCAAATAATTCCAAGAAGAGTTCAGATGAAATTTTTAATTGTGATTTTGCTCTCAGCTAAATCAACATACAGGTGAAATAATTCTTTGTCATTTTTTTATCAGCTGTCTCAGAGCTCTCATGTACCCCTAGGACACATATGACTTTAAGTAGATCACAATAAAAGAACAGAGGCAGAAACGAATGAAGAAAACAGAATGACACTTGCAATCAGAGAACCTGGCTTTCAGACACAAACCTGTGCCTTTCTGATTAGATGATTTTAGTGACTCATTCTTTGAGCTTGAGTGATCTTATTTACAGAATGGAGATAATAATTCTTAATCCATACCCTTTGTGAAAGGAGTAATTAAGATTATACTTGCGAAAATGCCTAGTATGAATTCCGGCAACTGGATGACATTTAGAGGATCCTCATTTTTAATTTTCTCATTTATTCATCAAGATTTGTGATATACTTCTGTTTTTTCAGTCCCTAGAACTGATTCTCAGTCCCAGGTTTGCACTTTATTCATTCCTTCTTTCCTCCAGCATGACTTAAATATTCGATTTGCATGTTTGTTTTGTTCCTGTTGGCTGTTCCACAGAAAGGTGCACATTTTATAAAATATCTTATTTTTTTCTTCCTCTGAAATACATGTAAAATATTATTAGACATTAGAAAATAATTCTAACAATTGCTGTTTGTGGACTTCTCCACACTATAGTGAATTAGCCAATGTTTTTTCTACACTCTTCATGTATGGTTTTTGAAATGTTCTAATTCTTTTTGTGTTGTCAGTCAGTTCAGCCCAATGTGATGTTCATAATCAGTTTCACTGGTGAGTATGATTTATCATTCTTCAGTCCAAAACAGGTTCTTTATGAAAGTAATGCCAAGACTTACAGATACTTAGTATCCAGAATGTGCGTCTAAGACATCTATCAAGATATTATTCCTAATACAGTGTCCTCCAATTCCATCCATGTTGTCACAAATGGCAGAATTTCCTTCTTTTGTAAGGGTACATAGTATTCCATTGTGTATATTTACCACATTTTCTTTAACTATTCATTCACTGATGCACGATTATAACTTGTCAATTAAAACTAAATAAATACATATGTACATATATAAACATTCCATTTTTCTTTCCCAACCTTTAATACCCTGACCCTTTTTACCACCTCATTCATTCTTTTGGCCTTGATCTGAATGAATTACTGCCTTATAGATAGGTCAAAAATACTTGGATCCTGCCTTTGCCTCAATAAAGAATGAAGACTCTGTCATAGTTCTTCAAATGTCCCCTGAACTATTTTGCCCTTCCTTAAAGCTTTCATGGCTCTATTTCCTGGAAACTACTGTCTTTTCTGATCTATTTTTATTTCTGTGCAGTTTTCCAGGATTCTAATCAGTATTTTTTTTTTTTTTTTTTTTTTTTGAAACGGAGTCTCGCTCTAGCGCCCAGGCTGGAGTGCAGTGGCGCAATCTCAGCTCACAGCGAGCTCGCCTCCCGGGTTCACGCCATTCTCCTGTCTCAGCCTCCCGAGTAGCTGGGACTACAAGGCGCCCGCTGCCACGCCTGGCTAATTTTTTGGATTTTTAGTGGAGACGGGTTTTCACCGTGTTAGCTAGGATGGTCTAGATCTCCTGACCTCGAGATCCGCCCGCCTCGGCCTCCCAAAGTGCTGGGATTACAGGCGTAAACCACAGCGCCCGGCCTCTAATCAGTGTTAAAGTCCGAGTTATGGCTGTACTGTTCATGAAGCTGTATGCCTTTGTATAAATACTGGTATAAATTATTCTTATTAGTTGTCAGCAGTCTCTGATAACAGACATAATTGTGTTCTCTATTTTTCTCCTGAAGTAACAAATCTCCATATCTTCTTGTTTTAAAGCTCATGCCCTTCCAAGGTATTTATTATTTCTTTTATTATTTCTTCAATAAATATTTTTGGGTCCCTCCTTTATTCAGATCTCAGACTAGGTGACCAGGACTTAAGATCAAAACAGAACAATACAAAATATAGTTTGGTAGTTTATATCTTCCAAGGGTTTTGGTCCCTTTCATCTAAGTTATCAAATTTGTGGTTATAGTCATTTGTAATATTTCTTTATTATTATTATTATTTTTGAGACGGAGTCTCGCTCTGCACCAGGCTTGAGTGCAATGGCACGACCTCTGCTGGCTGCAACTTCCACCTCCCATGCTCAAGTGATTCTCCTGCCTCATCCTCCCGAGTAAGTGGAAATACAGGCATGTGCCACCACACCTGGCTAATTTTTCTATTTTTAGTAGAGACAGGGTTTCACCATGTTGGCCAGGATGGTCTCTATCTCTTAGCTTCGTGATCCACCCACCTTGGCCTCCCAAAGTGCTGGGATTACAGTCGTAAGCCACCACGCCCAGACTTTTTATTGTATTTTTAATGTCCATGAATTTGGTAGTCATAACCTCTCTTTCATTTCTGATATTGTTGTTTTTTTCTTTTTTTTTTTTTTTTTGAGGCAGGGTTTCACTCTGTCACCCAGGCTGGAGTGCAGAGGTGTGATTTCGACTCACTGCAACCTCCACCTCCTAGGTTAAAACAACTCTCTTGCCTCGGCCTCCCGAGTAGCTGGGATTACAGGCGCCTGTCACCACACCAGCTGATTTTTGTATTTTTACTAGAAACAAGGTTTCGCCATGTTGGCCAGTCTGGTCTTGAACTCCTTACCTCAAGTGATCCACTTGCCTCAGCCTCCCAGTGTACTGATATTGATAATTTTTGTCTTCTCTCTCATTTTTCCTTCATTAGCCTGGCTAGAAGTTTATCAGTTTTGTTAATCTTTTCAAATAAATGTTTAGATTCATTGATTTTTCTCTATTGTGTTCCTGTTAATATAGTGGTATATGGTGGTTCTTCAACTCTAAAATGACTAAATACCCTAGAACTTAAGGGATTCAAATATTTCATTCTGTGAATAAGGGTCATGTATGTGCACACAAACACACACGAGACTCAATGAAAGTAGAGTTGCTAACACATATACAACTATTGACTACTCTGCCTTGTTTACTCTGTATTAAATGTTTAATTAATTCATATATGCATTCATTCTGTAATTATTGAAGGAAAACCTACTGTGGCCCTGGCACTCTTCTAGTGTCTAGGAATGAGCAGCAAACAGCAGCCAATTCATGAACTCATGAAGTTTACGTTCTAGTATGGAATTTAAAACTATAAATAAAGAAGTAAACGTCAAATAGTGATAAGTGCTATGGGAAAATAAGGAATGTTCAAGAAAAGGTATTATATATATTGTGAGGTGCCCCAATAATAATATTTAAGCTGAAGATAAGAAATGAACCATGTGCCTTAATGGTTGAAGGGTAATATAGGAGAAGGAGGAAACAGAAGTTCACACGGTGAAGAATACCTAGTGTGTTCAAGGAACAACAAACAGTGAGTGGCTCCAACAAATGTATTAACATTCAAGAAAATGACAGAGGAATAATTATAAAGACATAATCATAGAGTAAATATTTTAATAAAGTTTAAGCTCTTAGAATTCTGGACCCATTTCCCATTTACTCTGAAATGTGAGAGCTTTTTTTTAAGCTTTGGCACATGCATGCTATATAAATTTGGATGTTAAATTCAAATCACTAGAAACCTTATTTAATCACATGTACATAGTCCACTTCCATTAATCACTATGAATTTAATAGTTATCTTAAAGCTAGGATGGTTTGAAAACCCTCCCACCCACCTAGAGACTCTAACTCTTTCCCCTTTACTCTCGTAGTTTCCATGGTTCTCAAATTTTCATGTGCATAAACATTACTATGCACAATTGTCCACACAAAGTTAAGTTTGAAAAACATTATGTTATGCATAGCCAAATAAACACGAATTTTTTCAATACATCACTATTGGATTGTTTTCTTTCTTTAGAATTTCACTCCCAAATAAGTTACAACACCATTGTAGTGAATTGAAAGAGAACCACTTCTTCTGAGATAGTGTATAAATTTTTTGCCTATAAAAACTTAAAATACATATTTAAATTAGATAACCAAAGTATGTCCTCATAAGAATTTTCATGTCAATAATATGAAGATATTCTTAATATTATATCTTAGTTTATTAAGTAATAGGTAAATATTATAAAAACGAAAGATGAGTAAAAATCAGTGAGTTTTAATATAACTCACAATAATTACAAATTTATTAAAAAGACATGAATTTTCCCTCATTGAATGTTATTTAAATAAAAAATATAACTTGCAGATACCGTGTAATAAAATCATTGCTATCGCTGTAGAAAACAAACAAATTTAAATTTTACTGCAAGACATTGGTTGTGATGATCAGTAAACACAGATGCTGTCACTGGCATTTCTTAGGGTGGGTCACTTTGTAGTGTAAAAATGTAATCAAGAAGTCTACTGCCCTGTAACCAATGAAGAAAGTGGGGAAGCATGTTTTCTTTCAGTGGATTTTTTTTTCTAGTGGATATTTACTGAGAAATTACTATGTGCACATGGACCACTGCACTATATACTGAAAACATCTCTAACTTCCAGGAGCTCATTGTGTAGTGCAGGACAACAGGAAAACAATAGGTCACAAGGCAATATATGGACAGATGAATGGAGTGCCTTGACAGTAAAATGATCCTGTATTTTTTTCTTTCAAATAACTAGTGGATGTCTCTCTTTCATATATTTGACCTATTGATCCACAGATATGACTATGAGTGAGAAGCAGGGGAAATCTGTAACACCTTTTATCATCTTCCACATAGCTACCATTCCTATTAGATAATGTGGGTCTTCCTTCTGCCAATGTATCTCTTATATTTTGTATCCTCATCCCTGGAACACTGTTGCACATGAAAGTGGACTCTAAAGAATGATTGATAAATTGAATGAATTATCATCTTACTCTTGATCATATTTCTATGCTTGATAATTGTTTGTGTTCAGAAAGATACAATTGATGACCATTTCTATATTAAAAATAAAAGTCTTACTTATGTGATTTTCCTTTCAGTTATATGTCTCTTCTCTCACTAAATTTTATTGTTTTAGAGTGCATTTTACTAGAAGTACGTAATGAACGCATAAGTGATATTTATATCAAGAAACTTTTATTTAATATCCATTCAGTTCCTGAGACAATGGTAATACCAACTCTTACAAAACATTATTAAAATTTTATTTCAGATCCATTTATATTGCTCAGAAAGCACATTGGAATTAATTCAAAACCAATCTAAAGGTATAGTCTCTAAGTAAACAATTAGCTAGGCCTTGAGGTGAGTTTAATAAAATGACATCTCTGTAAATATGGATATAGTACAGTAGTCTTTTCTAATTATTTACATCTAATGTAACATATTATATGCCAGATAACTGCTTTTTTTCCATAAATGAAGTCTTCTCTTTTGCATTAATAATTATGACTGACTCAGGTTTTGACCAAATTCTTATTGATATCTAGATACATTTTGTCAGTATTTGTTTATCAGTGGTTGGTTATCATACAGGATGTTAAAAAGCAAGTGTTTGAGAATATTTAGTTAGTAAAG
Source organism: Homo sapiens (assembly GCF_000001405.40). NCBI lineage: Eukaryota > Metazoa > Chordata > Mammalia > Primates > Hominidae > Homo > Homo sapiens. The sequence continues at coordinate 188,062,202 of NC_000002.12, read as the reverse complement.
GAAAAAATAATCTTGAGCTTTATTTAATAATATATATAGAAAATATATATACACATTTATGAAAACAAAACATTGATAATGTATAATACACTGATGCATACACTTCAATTATTTCCTATATTGGCATTTCTGTCTCATTCTTTGTCATTAGTCATGAACCCAAAGCTTTTTATTATTTAGCTGGAGAATTAGTTTCAGAATTAGATTCTAAGAGGCCAAAATGAATTGTGTCTCAAATTTTTGATTCAATGTTAATTTATTTCTTGTTTTGTTGCTTTTGATTAACAGAATAAACCAAATTTTATAAAAGAGAAATATATCAAAATAAAAACAGGGCATAACTCCTCATTTAATTATGTCTTCCTGTGTTTGTAACATAGTGTAATAGAATTTATTGAACAGAGAAAGCCTATTAACTCTGAAAAATCTCCAATTAAGCACAAAAACAGAGACTAAATTTCCTAAAATATAATCTTATTTAATTAAAAAATTTTTTTGAATATCTAACAGGCATGGGAACTTGATTCTCCTAAATAAAGTCTGCATGTACATATACAATGATACAAATTGTTCATGAATAATTATTATATAAACATAATTTGAAAGCATGAATTATATATACAAATTAACTGAAAGTTATTTTCTAATTTTATAGCTTATTTATATATGTCCATACAGATACACAAACATGTATACATACAGGTATGCATGTATGTATACTTATTATCAATGAATTATTATTGATTAAAAGCTCTAAATAAATGTACTTGATGGGGAAGACTTTCCAAAATAAAACCTTGAAGACAGAAAATTTTCATATCCAAAAACTGAAGTCAGTAATTAATTATTCTGTTTGGATTATATCCTGTATGTTCTTTGCCCTTCTTTTTTCCCTCCTGGTTCTCATAGACATGTTTTTGCTCTTCAGTAAGAAGATATTCATAAAGTATATCAGATTAATATTTCAATTAGTTTGCATACTCTTAAGTCTATGCAAACTAATTGTAACATTGTATAAATCTGATTTTTCTTTTTTTGCATATTGGGATCCTTAAAAAGCAGCAGTGGCCCAGGCTTCTACCCAGCTCAGGTTAACCTTGTATATCAGCTAAATTTGCATTATCAGGGTAATGCAAATAAGCAATAAGGCTTAAATTTTTCCTTCTTTCAGAAATTTTGACAACTTAATAATGTCAGAAACCAAGGAAGTAAGAGGTAAAATTTTCATATCAAATTCAGGACAATTATTTAGGAGGTGAGGTTTCTCAGCAACTTGCCAGTGTAACACCAGAAAGTTACCTCTAGGATAAACAGTTAAAATATCTTACCTCTAGAACTCCCAAACTGGTATAGATTTGTCTTGAAGTTAATACTATTACCTACAGTCAGAATGCTTTAGGTTTTATGCTGCTGCTTTTTTTTTTTAGAAAAGATAATTTCATAACTATTTATTTATTATTTTGTATAAACTATTCCCTTGTGTAACCCCCCAAAATGTAAGCATGCCCAAACTTTGTACTTTGAGTCTTGTATTGAACAAATAAATACCTATGAGTTACTCTAATTTAGTTTAATTTATAACAAATTATTTTAATGGGAGAAGTGTAATTTTTATTAGAATAACATACACTTTATTAGCATTTATGCATTAATAGTTCTTAAATTCACCTGGTGTTGGAAAGAGTAAAATGTATTTCACATTTGTAGCTTTTTCTGATCTGAATTGATTTGAGAGCAGAATTCTGATTTGAGAAACTGGATGAATGAATAGCTAACATATCTGTTAATGTAGTTCTCTGGAATATCAATCATTTCTATAGTACTCTTTGCAGGACTTGGAAAAAAACAATGAAATATTAACATTCCTGAGTGTACCTAAAGTGAAAGAATACTGGGTGGATGATTGAAAAGATATGTGCATTATTTAGATAAAATCAAGCATCTGGAAATGTAGATTGTTAAGCTTTTGGGTTGGAGTTACAAAAATTTAAGAGCCTGACATATTTTAGCACTGATGAAGTATTATCCAACTTTTATGCTTATAAATACTATTAAAAAGCAAAGCTAAGCTTTTTTTTCTTTCTGAAAAAGCGATTTTGAGTATGTTGAAATAATATGAGGGATGTTGCTTGGAATAGTGTGAGGGCAAGAAGAATCCTCTATTGGAATATAACATTAGGGAGAAAAAATCTGATAAGGCTACTGAAGGTTGCTTCATTTTAAGCACATTGCATTTTTATGTCCTTACTGGATGAGTTTGTAAAGGAAAATTATATATTTTCCTCTAAATAGACTAGCATGGCATTTAGTTTTTTCAAAAATATCTAATATCTTTGTCACCATATGCTGACAAAGACACGACTATTTTAACTAAACTTCTCTATTTCACGTATTTGTGTTGTTTTCATCTGAGTTAGACAGGAATAAAAACCAAACTTTGGGAGATTCATTTTTGGAATGCCTGTGTGCAGGGCTTTGGTGAACCAGCTTCTCAATAAAACAACCATAACTGGTGAAAATAATGGGTAAAAAACATAAAGTATCTGGAAATTGTCCTAAAGGCATACAGCAAATAAAGAAACATTTACTCAAGAAAATCCGCAAAATCTCGTAAGACAATAAGAGCATGTAGTACCTGTGTCATAATCTGTTCTTTTCCTTCCCCAGCTCAGCATAATAGAAGCTTTACTGTAGGAGCCCATGGCCAAGAAGATGGGGCATGCTCTCCCCAAGGTCCCAAGCAAGGGCTATAGCACTGTATTACTTTCCTAGGGTGACTGTAACAAATACCACAAACTTAGTGGCTTCAAAAAAATATAAATTTATCACTATAAATACAGTTCTGGATGCCAGAGTTCAAAACTGAGGGATGGGCAAAGCTGCACTTCCTCTAAAAGCTCCAAGGATAAATCTATTCCTTGCCTTTTCCAACTTCTGGTGGCTTCAGTTATTTTTTGGCTTATGGCCATATGTTTCCAATATCTGTCTCTGTACCCATATTGCTTCTTCCTCTGTGGCTGTCCTCTGTGCATCATTTATAAGGACACTTGCCATTGGATTTATGGCCCAGCCAGATAATGCAGCATAGTCTTCTCATTTCAAGATCCTTGTCTTAGTTACATCTGCAAAGATCCTTTTTCTAAGTAAGGTACCATTCGCAGGTTCTGGGGATAAGGACATTGACATATCTTTTGAGAACCACCATTGAGTTCACTATAGTCTACCCTCTGAGCCCTAAAAATTTACATCTGCCTCATGCACAAAACACATTTATCCCATTCCAACATCCTACAAAGCTTCAACGTATTAAAGCAGTAACTCTATGTCCACAATCTCACCTAAATATCATTAGCTTAAAAGTCCCAGATGTCACCATCTAAATCAGGTATGGGTGAGACATTGAGTATTACTCATCCTGGGGCAAAGTTTCTCTTCATCTGTGGACCTCTGAAAGTAGAAAACAAGTTATTTTTAAAAATACAATGGCAGGATAGGGATAGGATAACAGTTTTAAATATTTCCACTTCAAAAGGGAGAAAAATTAAGGAATAAAAGGATCACCAGTTCCAGGCATGTTCAAAACCAACAGGCCAACTTCAGTTAGATTTCAAGGCCTGGGTATAATCCTCTGTGGCTAGGGGTTCTGCCTTCTGGGCTCATGATTTCTCTAGTTAGGTGAAATATGGAGCATGGCAGCTCCATAAGCCTCTATTTGAGACAGCTCTATAGCTTCTGACCCCAGCAGCACTTCTGTAAGCCTTTGTCTCTGTACCTTTAGTGGCTCAGTAGGTCTCTGCCTTTGTGTTTTTGCTTTTGACTTCTGCACCTATGAATATGCTTCCAGCCTCTGCCTTAGTGCTGTAGCTCCATAGGCCTTTGCACCCATGTCTCTGTGGGTCTCTGCACCTGTGGCACACTCATCTGGGTATTTCTCGAAGAACAGAAAATATTTGCAGCCAAATAGTAATATCAACCTGTTTCCATCCTGTAGAGTTTTGGAAATCTGACAACTTTCTTCATTTTGTCCTCTCTCTGTCCCTGTCAGTCCAACTGATAGTGTTTCTGCTGATACAATATTTTCAAAAATTTTGTAGGTCTTCTGTGTATGTCATGGGGAGTCACACAATGAGCCAAGAGGGTCCTCCACAGATATTTCTTGGATTATCCCATCTCTTTTCCTGGCTTCTGCTGAGGTGTTTGAGTGGATTTATAAATCTTATAAATCCTATAAATGCTTGTCTAGCCGTCCATTTTGCTTTTTCTCCAGAGCACACTTTCCTAACAGTGAGGTTAAATTTAGTGTTCTTTGCAATCTGGCTAGGCTGAAAAATTTCCCGTTATAAAATGCTGGTTTCTTTTTGGTTAAAATTTTCTCTCTCAATTTGTCTTGTTCTTCCTACATTTTACTGTAAGCAACAGAAGAAACATGGCCACACCTTCAACACTTTGTTTGGAATTCTCAGCTAAATATCTAAGCTTATCAGCTTACAAGTTCTGCTTTCTACCTAGCTGTAGGACACAATTAAGCCATGTTTTCTCTGACTATATAAGAAAGATCATCTTTCTTCTTTCTCCAGTGACATTTTTCTTATTTCCTTCTGAGCCTTTCCCCAAAGCACCCTTAACATTCGTATTTCTACTAACATTTAGTTCAAGAGTATATATTAAAAGTATTAATGGGGAAATAGTATTTCTTTCTTAGCTTGTTTCTCTTGCTTTCATTTACTCATTGAATAGCTGAGGCAAGAAATAGCAATCAATTCTGTCTTGTGGACAGTGTGGAAATCTTGGGGGCCCACTGCTGAGGGCTATTTTCTGTTGTCATTAAGGATTGGCTATGATTTTGCAGAGTACCTAGTAGGGAGTTGGTGGCAATGCAGATCTGTTGAGGGGAAGTGTTAATATTTACTTAGCGACTAAATTCGAACAAATCAATCCTGGTAATTTGGGTATAGTACAGTAAAATGTAATTGACTGGCCAATACTTAATCTCTAGGATATAATTCAAAATAAGTACTGTTTACAAATTCAGAATAAATGCTATTTACTAGCTGATTACATGGAACGTCTCATGAGTTACCTTACTCCTCTAAATCAGGAAAAAACAATGGTTGCTTTACTCTGAGAGAAATGAATGAACTAAGAAGGCTTGCTTTCTTCTATATAGGACTGGGAGGATTGTTTGAAGTTATAAATAAGAAAATACTCTATTTTTTGACCAACAGTATTATTTTTATAAGGAGATTTAAATGCCAATATTTGCTGAAAATTTTGGTATATATACAAACAGATACTAATTTATAGTATATGCAAACAATATATAATTTATTAGCATAAATTTACTAAATATCATATTTAATTTCATATATATTACATATTATATGTAATCAAGTCCCAATTATCCATGCCTCCAAATAGATCATCTAAAGCCTGAGTAGAATTAAACCTAATTATTGGAAATATACTTCTAATTACTTGGGCCATGGTAGGCCAGGCATTAATTGTTTGAAGTAGGATGATTTAGAAGTTTTTTCCAAGATTAATCTGAAAACTCTAATAATGCTTCTCAGTTTTACCTCTGGCCCTACAGACATGATTCTGTCTAAAAAAAAAATTAAGAACAATGATTTTCTTTCTTTTATTATTCCTATAAAATAAATAAATATTCATTACAAATTAGAAATAAAAATGATCATTGTAAAAGAAAGGTGAGCCCTAATCCAAGTGCTTAGAGATAATTAACTGAAAGCATTATATAATTTTCCAAAAATTTCTAACCATTTGACTAAGATCCTTATTACTATTTCTTTTCCTGTTTCCTGACACCAATTCTCACTTATGCTGACAGAAGAGTGATTGAACATGGACATTTGAAAATAAGCAGGCTAAAGAGAAAGTTAGGGCTGTGTCTTCAAGCCTGGCCAGCTAAATAATTATAAGTAGGGTCACGGACCAAGATAGGCACAGGAGTGGAATTGGATTTCATTGTGCAGACTGGTAGGGAGGGTAGAATATTAAGGTGAGCAAATAAAGCGAGTAATTCAAGGCCTTGCAACTTCCATTTCTGGTTCTTGCCTCACTCAGGAGACTGCGGAATTGAGACCCATGAGTGAGGTGAAGCAGTGAGTTATGTGAAGTATTCTACTCAATATCAAACAAATGAATGAAACCCAAGAATAAGAACCTTACACAGAAGAAGCTGAAAATACAATTAATTTTCCTCTCTTGCTCATCAAATAACATGTTGTATAACACCCTGGAAAGGAATGGCAAAGTACAAGTTTACAGTATACCTAGTTATTCCTTGAATTTATTCATTTCCATATTTACAGACATAATGAGATAATTGCAAGCTTAGAGGGTTGACTCTAGTTCTTCCTGGGGTACAATACGCAAACAGCTTGTTTATACAGTTCAAGTACCTTATTAAGTGGAGAAGGTAACTGTCGTCTTAAATGTGATGTGAAGACATTAATAATCCAGTTAACTAATGTCTAACTTTAGTTAACAGGAGCTTAGCTGTGAATAGAAAGACAAGTTGTAATACATAGATAAAAGCTGGTGCTTAATGTGTTAAAGCTCTGTCTCTTGTTCTACTACTTATGTATTACATACTATAGATCATGGGGAAAGTATGTAATATGTCATACTTGCTTCCTAAATAATATTAATTCACCTGATAGATATGTATGAGTATCTACTTATGTAAGACAATGCAAGACACTGCCATTGATAGTTTTTTTGTATAATGCTTTACAGTTTTCAAAGTCATTTTTTTAACCAACAGTGTCCACCAATTGAATAATAATCTATTCTCTTAGGTTCTTAATCAAATTGTCCCTAAAATGTCATTGGGAATTTTGTTATTTCTGTGATATATCACAGAAAATGAACATAGGTGCAGACAAATATTTCTGTATGTAATGTACTGGGTCCATGTGTCCTTGGGTCCCCTTTATCTATCTCTGGACCTTCATGATAAGAACATCTGTTTTACAAGAGTTGGGTTTCTGCTCTGCCCTCCAGACACTAGGATCTATGCACAGATTTTTTTTTTTTTTTTTTTGAGACAGAATCTTGCTGTCACCAGGCTGGAGTGCAGTGGTGTGATCTCAGCTCACTGCAATCTCCACCTTCTGGGTTTAAGCAATTCTCCTGCTTCAGCCTCCCAAGTAGCTGGGACTACAGGCACACGCCACCACACCCAGCTAATTTTTGTATTTTTAGTAGAGATGGGGTTTCACCATGTTGGCCAGGATGGTCTCGATCTCTTGACCTCGTGATCCGCCTGCCTCGGCCTCTCAAAGTGCTGGGATTACAGGCGTGAGCCACCACACCTGGCCCAGGTATCTTTTTGCACCTAGTCATTCATATTTTATCTCATAAAGGAAATCTAAAGGACAGATCAAAGAATTATTAGCTAAAATAAATCAAACCCATAGTGTATAAAAACTATTCACAATAAACATTTACATTAATAAAAATGTGTGTATTTGTGTGCACATAAAATTGACAATACAGGAATACATTTTAAAAGATCACCAAGGTTTTGCTTTTTAATCTTTATTTAGTTATCCATTAGTTCATACGATATTCAGAAAGCTCATGTGGAGTGAATAGTACAAATACGTTTAACACCAGTTTCTTGAATGAGAAAATTTAATGTTCAAAGCTTGTGAGGTAGATATATTCAAGTAATCAGTGGTCACTTGAGAAAACAGAGGGTTTTTAAAAAATCTTTGAGCCATATTGTTACATCAACTGTACTTTTTTCTTCCTCTTCATGTTTCTGCTAATCTGTGCCATCATAAAGTAGAATTCATATTTCTCAATCTAAAAATGCTTATTTATTTATTTTCTAAAATATGACTTAACTGGAAACACAAGAATACTTAAATAATGGGAAAAATGAAAGAGATTTCAAAGTTGATTAGAATTTACATTTGCCTTCATTTTTAAGATAATAGATTCATTTGTCAGTTTAGAGGAATTGTGTTTCGGTAGTAAGATATAAAATGACATCTTATTACTAAAATGATTTATCACTGTTTATTTTATATTTCTCCTGATAGATCTCACGTTGCTACACTTAATGGGTTTTAGTACAACATTTATTTAATTTGGAGTTGATGTTTGTGTTAAGTAAAGATTGAGGTATGGCATTATGTACTGTTTTGGTTTGTTTTACAGATTTACAGCACTAGTTAACCTATAAATACAGAATTAAACAAAGGATAGCTCTACAACAAATTAAATTTTAATTCAATTAATATATTTACTTAGGTCATCTGGTTACATTTAAATTTGAGCAAAGAGCTTCACTTAGCTTCATTACTACATAACTTCCTGTCTAATATAACTTACAGATTTTTCAATGTGTGGACTTCTTAAAAATTTATTGTAATTTTTAAGGGGATGGGGTAGAACAATGAGAAAAATGAAAGGGACAAAAATATTAATTAATATAAGGTAATATAAACATGAACTACCAAGTCAAATTATTTTCTGATGAATTCAATCAACATAAAAAATAAATCAGAACCACCCAAGGACCCCAAACTCTGCTATCTCCGTGTATAGATGTCTTAAAATATTAACTCTTTTTTTGTATTCCTTTTGTGTGTTTGTTTTTTTAAATCTACGCTACAGCCAACAGTATCCACATATTAGGTGTTTCTGGTTATCTTCATCTTGTCCTGAGTTAGTTTCCATCTGGTATAATTTTCCTTTAGCCCGCCTAGTTTCCTTTAGTTTCATTTGTACCGAAAATCTGCTGGCGGTGAAATGTCTTAGTGTTGTTTGTCTAAAAATATCTATACTTTTATTCTTAAAATATATTTTCTCTGGATTTAAAATTATGAGTTGAGGGTTTTTGCTTGTTTGTTTATGCAGTTGTTATGGTTGGTTGTTTTCCCCTCTCATCATTTTTAAGTTTTCTCATGTCTTTTAGTTTTCATAATTTAGATGTGAAATCAGTGTACATTCATATAATTGTTCCACTGTACGTAGTACCTCATTTTTCTTCAGTTGCCTTTATCCTTGGCAGTTTGACTATGTAGTTCAATAGTGGGCTTTTTGGATATATCTTTATTTATTTTATATGCTTCTTCAATTTGTAAATATTTTTCAACAACTTTGGGAAAATTTTGACTACTATTTCTTCAAATAAATACTCGTTCTATATTCTTCATTTTCTCCATCTAGGACTCCAATTACATGTACAAGAGAGCTCTTCATATTGTTACACAACATTTTATTAATTAATGTTAGTCAGAGAGATGAATTTGAGACTAATCTCCCATCTTGTTGGCTGCAGCACCAGATTAAAGCCTTCTTTCCTGGCAATACTCACTGTTTTAGTGATTGGATTTCTGTGCAGCAAGTAGCAGGGCCTAGACTGAACCCCTGGGGTTTCAGTAACACTTTCCTTTCCCATTACTATGGGGACCCTAAACTTTGCCCTCTATTTTTTTCAAGCCAATACTTCCTATGCAATACTGCATACGCTGTATCTGAATTTTAGCCACCCCACATGGCAGTGACCAGTGCTTATCCTCAGTTAAGGAGATGTAGAAAAAAGACCTCACTCAATGCTGTTCTCTTTTTCCAAATGTCAGCCATACTTCAGGTTGTCTCGATTTATGGCATAATTGAGTAATTAAATTTCATGAGAATTTAATTCTCCTGAATTAAATACAATTTTATTACATCAAGAATATTATGAATTAATAAAGTGAATATTTGATGATTTTTCCTCAGTTTCCCAGCAGTTACATAGATTAACATTTTATTCTACTTGATTATATTTTTAAATAAATATATTCAATATATTTTGCATGTATGCACCCTAAGGAAAAAAAATTGCCACTACTTTTTAGCTCTATCAGCAATAACTATCAATCTTAAGTATCATATTTTATTGAAGGTCAACTTGCTGTAGTTGAATGAGAAAGTAACCATTTATTGTTTTTGCCTCAGGGACCTTCATTCAGCTGAACTAATGCGACTTTAACAGTGTGAGGACAGAGATCATTTACTAGGAAGGACCCATTTATTATAAAATCTAAGAAAATGAGTTTATTCTATCCTTTATTCAGAGTACTTGAAAAGAATTTCTCAAATGTTTTCTAGTTTATATACTGTTACCATTTATAATTAAGGACAAATAAGAGCCATGTGAAGATTAACCAGACTGCTTTAGTGATAATTTTTCTGGGGCCACTAGAGAAAAGCTAAGAGGACCACAGTGAAGTCATCCCCACTATCTGTTCTTACAGAAAGTTAGCTCACCCAATTTTTCTGCCAAAAGTGGAAAATACCATACACTATATGTCATCCACCCATAAAGATCCATAATTCATACTAGTATATGGCATAGTAGGGACTCTGGAAATGTTGGGTAAGAAAACCTGTTTAACTGTGCTTAGTTTAGTGTTTCCTAAACATATTTGACTACAAATTTCTTTTTCACGCATGAAGGGATATAGTTAGAATTCTTTAGGTAAACCCTAATGAAACAAATAGGCAAAACTGATTATTCAATATGTTAATAAAACCTGATATCTTGGGTGATTAGGTATATCAATGAGAAGAAGGAGCCTACTCTATAAAGTTGAATAGTCTAAACTTTGAGGAAAACGGCCCTCTCAATTTGAATGCTTCTGGGTGCTTAGCATATGAAAACCCCATTTAGGTAACTTAAAGCAAAGGAAGATTTTACACCAAACCATCTTAGATCTGATGACATTAGTAAGAAAAGCAGTGCTCTGAATGTGGGTCTCCTTTCTCTTCATTCTCTATGTGTGGATGTATGTATGTAAGTATGTGTCTGGCATACAAAAGAGGAATCATTTGTCAAGGGCAATCTGTGAGTTAATGTGAAACAAATTAACACAGGGAATCAGTAAATAGATGATGATGACTGATGTTAACTGAGTGGACAGGCTTCTCAAATGTATTATTTGGGACCTCAAAATGGGCGGCCAGTTTATTTTTGAAAATCTCAGCCAGAGACTATCCTCTTCATTCCTGTGGTATAAACCTGGTGAACCTACTTAAGCATTCCTTCTTCTGCAGAAAGAAAGATGATCCTTAATATAATCAGTCTCAGTGAATTATATGGATAATTCTAGCGACAGTTTATTCTAAGAATTCTCTTCATTTCTGCCCTCTCATCAAGATGTTGCTACAAACCCCAAGGCCATTGCCTATAATTGTCTTTCCTCCTTGTTTATTCTGGCAATGCCCTAAAGGACTCAGCTCTTATACCACCTCTTCTGCAAAACATTAACAAAACCCACACCAACAGAATTAATTGCTCATTCCTTTCTGCCTCCTTGGCACATTCTTTATCTGTTCATATTGCCTTACAGCTGTTTGTTCATTTACTGCAACATTCTTGTGGGTTAGAGTTTTGACATATTATTTCGATCTAGCTTATTTTTATATATAGATCAGGTCCAATACATAGCAGTATTAAATAAACATTGGTTAACTGAATGAGAAATAAACATGGGGGCTTTTTTGTTTATTTGTTTGTTATTTTTGTTACCTCACTCTAGTCTATATTCAAATTGTAACACTGTCAGCTTCCTCTTTCAAGATATGCTTATCTGATTGTTCCTCAAGAGAACACTAAAAATCTTGGCCTCCTATTTAAAAAAAAAAAGAGTATATGGGAAGAAGACATATAATGAATCTTCTCAGGCTGCTATAACAAAATACCACACACTGCATTGCTGAAACAATAGAAATTTATTTTCTCACAGTTCTGGATGCTGAGGAATCCAATATCAAGGTGACAGCAAATTCCATTTCTAGTGAGGGTCTTCTTGGCTTACAAATGGCTGTCACCTTGCTGTGTGCTCACATGAGCTCTCTAGTGTCTCTTCTTATAAGGACACTAATCTTATTGGATCAAGGATCCATTCATGACCTCCTTTTACCTTAATTACTTTCTTAGAGAACTCATCTCTAAACATAATTGCACTGGGGGTCTTCAATATATGAGCATGAGGGGGTACACAAACATTCAATCCATAACAAGATATTTGATGTTTCCTACCCGTCAGGCACTATTTGTTTAATTTTTGTTTAATACAGATTATTCAGAATGAAAGAATGACTGCTTGTGACTAACAGAAAGTCTTTTTAGTATGTCACATCACTACAGTATTATTTCTTGGGTTTTAAAAATTATCCTTTACACAGTATTTTCAATTTGAGAAATATTTTGGGTAGTAGCTGTTTGTTTTTTTCATTTTATCTAGAATAGGATGCCATATTTTCTTGAGAAGATAAATGCAGTGGGTATTAGTTGCAGTCAATTCCAGGAAAACTGTTAACTGGCACAAAACAGTTAGGAGCAGCCAGCTACCACTTCATAATCAATCCTGCATACCCACCAAGCCCTCCACCTGTGGAAATTGGCATTTAGATGGCAGAATAATTAAAATGAATGAGAAACATCAGTGTTCATTGTCCATATGCTAACGGTCATTTCTCTCTGTGTGTGTTACCTAGTTATTTCTTTAAAGGTTGTATACGTTCTCTGTATTGTTGCAATTTTGTTCAAGATTTGAGGCAGCCAAAGGGCTTTAGTGGGATAACATTATTGTAACTACCTAAAGAATGAAATGATTTTCCAACGTAGATTCCTGATTCTTTGTGGTAACTTGATCTGTGATATGTCCAGAAATCTTTTAAGGAGTAAAGATTGGTATCAGTGGAATGTTTAAATGTGATAAAAATGTGTAAAGTTAATAAAGTTGTTGGCACTTAATAGGTAAGCAACAAATGCAACTATTTCCATCCCTCAATTACATACAGTATTTTGATACCTGGGGAAATATAAAAACAAACAAAAAATTTCAACTGGTTATTGTTAAATCAGTTTTTAAAGTAATCACTCTTGTAGATAAAGCAAACACTGACAATGAATCTTTTCACTGTTTATAAAACTTTGTAGAACTGAGCAAATACCACTGTCAGGTGTCTAGTATTACACCCTTTATGAAATACCCTTGTTTTAGCACATATCTGGGTTGATATGTGTTAATGTAACCAAATGTCCTATCTTGGAGTCACTAGAATATGAACTTTATAAAAATCAAAACAATTAGCATTTCACTAGATAACAAGAGTTTCATATGTTGGTAAGAAATTAATCTTTTAAAGAAATTCTGAAATCTGATGAACTCATATAATCTCTAAATCTGGGTGTGTCCTCTGCTTTGAACATTTATGTTAATTTAATTCTGTATAATTTAATTAGAATGTAAGAAATGGGATAGTGACCTATAGGAATTATGACACTTGATGTTTAAAAAATCATGAGATAAACAAGGAGTAACTATCATTTAAAAGCATTCTAGTGACATCTTATGTTTTACAAATTTTTGTACTACTCATTTTCAAGTAATTAATTCATAAAGGAGAGAGGCTTTTTGGACTGATTAAGAATAGGATAAAACAGATTTTTGTGGGAAATATTTAATACATGGTGAAGAAATTTAATCTCCTTCAATGTTATTAATATTGTCTCACACAGCTGTCTCTACGTCTAAACTTTTGAGAGCAAATTGAGCTGTGAAGCATATTATGTTTAGAATTAAAAGATTTGGTTCTAGTCTATTCTTTCGGTGACAGACTTGTTAGTTTTCTCACATTTAAGTTGGGTGTGATAATCACCTATTCTAATTACCTCAGGTGTCTATATAAGAGTCAGGGATGTTCAAAGAGCACAAACAAAATAATATATAACTTTTCTATTAAGAGGGTAGTAAAAGAGCCCAGCTATTTGAAACTCTAAAAACATTTCTGTTTATAAGTCTCCCTACATGTTTCTTAGATGAGGTTTAGTTTGGACTTTCCCAAACCTATCTTCACTTGCTTTTCACAAAGTTATTGTACTGCTTGTTGCTCTTAAAATAAATACTCATAATGCCCTCAGAATGACTTTTAAAACAATAATTACTTGCATTTTAGTTTTCTTACATTTTATTATTCTTATGTAATTATGAAGAAAAGATCTGATAGGTTTTTAATTTTGATACAAGTTTTGGGTTTTTGCTTTGTTTTTTTTCTCCTTCTGTTGTTATGTTAAATAACAGTTTTACCTATGGAATTTTTCTTACATTTTGCACTATAGACTGAATTTGAGATGAGTCATTCCCATCTCAAAAAAAACACATTAACATGTTGAAAATAAATAAGAAAAACTGCTAGCTCTTAGTTAATATAGACCAGCACTTAACAACATGCTGAGTCTATTATGGAATTGGCATTAACACAGACCTTGAAGTCTTTCATGTCTTATAGTTCCTATGGTGAGGTAATAAATCGGCTGTGTGTTAGATGATATAAGGTATGTGGAAACGAAGTTGCAAAAACTTACAATGGATTACTTATGGCATCTGCTAGATGCAGAGAATATTTTAATTCATTTAATCATGAGGCTATTTTTCTGACTAGAAAATTTATTTTTAACACCTTTTAAAAGGAGTGAAAATAGATTTCCAGATACTAATACTGAAATCCCAATAGCCCTCTGCAAGGGATAGAAAGGTTCCTTTCTAAATTTTATTGCCAGTAACAAAATATTTCAAATTACCAAACGTAAAATCTCTAAATCCAGTGAAATATAGTGAATAAATTACATAGTGTTTCTTAGGGAAAAAAGTAAACATGTATGATACTTTTTATAGTTACAAAGTTTTCCAGATAAAATACTTCTGGTAAATTCGTGAGTTTCCAAAAGACATCCCCAACTTCCATTACTCAGATTAGTCTTATAACATTGGCTTCTCTCTTTGGTATTAATTGTGTTCCACAATTTGTAAGGCATTGTGGGGGTGTATTGCAAGCCTGGTAGGTTAACATTAAATCTCTGTGTGAATGTGGTATTGTAGCTATTTGTTAGTTAATAATTTTCATATTGTATTAAGTGATTAGTGATAGAAAAAGTTAAACACATATTCATCATTTAACCTGGAATTTCCAAAAATAATTTACTTCTTTGGTGGTTTTCTTAGTCCATTTTGTGCTGCTATAACAAAATACTGCACACTGGATAATTTATAAAGAACAGAAATTTATTTCTCACAGTTCTGAAGGCTGAGAGGTCCCCAGTCAAGGCACTGGCATGTGGTGTCTGGTGAGGGCCTTCTTGCTGCCTCCTTATGTGGTGGAAGGCAGAAGCGCAAGCAGGGATGAACACTGTGATCTCACATTGCAGAAGAGTGAAAGAAAAAGAGCTCACTCCCACAAGCCCTTTCTACAGTGCAATTAATCCATTCATGAAGGTTGAGCCCTCATAACCTAAAGACTTCCCATCTCCCAACATTGTTACTTTGGGGATTAAGTTTCAACATTCGTTTTGGAAGGAATAAAAAAATTCAAACTATTGAATTCTGCCCTTGGCACCCCCAAATTCATTTCATCCTTATACACAAAATACATCCATTCCATTCCAGTAGCCTAAGTCTTAATTTGTTACAGCATGACTTTAAAATTCCCAAATCCAGAGTTTTATCTAAATCAGATATGAGTGAGATTCCAGGCATGATTCATCCTGAGGCATATTTTCCTCCAGCTGTGAGCTTCTGAAATAACAGAATTTATATGCTTCCAAAATACAATGATGAGACAGCATAGGATGGATATTACCATTCCAAAGGGAGAAATAGGAAAGAAGAAAGGAACAACACGTCCCAAGTAAGTCTAAAACACAAGAGGGCAAACTACGTTAGATCTTAAAGATCCAGAATAATTACCTTTGATTCTATGTCCTGGACACACTGAAATAAAGTTTAGGGCCCCAAGGCCTCTGTCAGACCTGCTTCTGTGACTTTGCTGGGTGCAGCTCGTATCACTCTCATAGGCTGAAGTAAGGTGACTATGGCCCTTCCAGGCTGATGTTGCACACATTTGGCTCCACAATTATGGGATCTCTGGGGCACCCTGCTCCCACGACTCCACTGGACATCACCCTATTGAGGGCTGTCTGTGGCAGCCCTGAAGCTGTTTGAGATGGCCTTTGAAATCTGGGTAGAGGAAGCTATTTCTCTATAATTTTGTGTGCCTACAGAATTAGCAGCATGTAGACACCACCAAGGCTTACCACTTCCAATCTCTGAAGCTATGGCTTGAGCCACACTTGGGTATGCCTGAGCTACAGCTGAAAAAGCCAAAAAGCACTGCATTGGAATGCAGACAGCAGCAATCTAAAGTGGTTTCTGGGTAGTGAGACTCAAGGTCACACATGTGCCCTAGGATCTTCTCTTGAAAACTTTCTGCCCTCAAGGCCCTGTAACTCTGGGCATGTGATGGGCATTGGAGCCTCAAAAGACTCCAAAATGTCTTCAAAGTCATTCCTCCATTGTTTTGATGAATAGCACCTGGATTCCTTCTACTTATATTAATATCCTTATCAAATGATCTCTGGCCACACCCTTAGTTTTGTTTGTTTGTTTGTTTGTTTGAGACAGTCTCACTCTTGTAGCCCAAGCTGGAGTGCAGTGGCGCGATCTCGGCTCACTGCCACCTCTGTCTCTGGGCTCAAGCCATTCACCTGCCTTAGCCTCCCTAGTAGCTGGGATTACAGGCTCCCGCCACCACGCTTGGCTAATTTTTTGTATTTTTAGTAGAGACAGGGTTTCACCATGTTGGCCAGGCTGGTCTCGAACTCCTGACTTCAGGTGATCCGCCAGCCTCGGCCTCCCAAAGTGCTTGGATTAGAGGCATGAGCCACTGTGCCCGGCCTTTTTTTTTTTTTCTAAAGTTGCTTTTTAATTTTTTTTACATGACTGGGATGAAAATTTTTCAAAATTTTTGTGTTCTGTTTCCAGTTTAATTACAAATTCCCTCTTTGTTCCCAGTTCTTGAATTTTACTATAAGCAGCTAAAAGAAGTCATGCACCATCTTCAATATTTTGCTGTTTAGATATTTCTTCTGCCAAATATCCCAGTTCATTACTCTTAAATTCTGCCTTCTACAAAGCCCTTGGGCTTGGACAAAATTCAGCCCAGATTTATTTATTTATTTGTTTTTGCCACTTTACAATGAAAGTTGTGTATTAGTTAGGCTTCTCTAGAGGGCCAAAACTAATAGAATAGATGTATATATGAAAGGGAGTTTATTCAGTAGTATTGACTTACATGATCATGAGATGAAGTCCCACAATAGGCCATCTGCAAGCTGAGGAGCAAGGAAGCCAGTCCAAGTCCCAAAACCTCAAAAGTAGGGAAGCCAAGAGTACAGCCTTCAGTCTGTAGCTGAAGGCCCAAGAGCCCCTTGCAATTCACTGGTGTAAGTCTGATATGGTTTGGTTCTGTGTCCCCACCCAAATCTCACTTTGAATTGTAATAATCCCCAAGATGTCAAGGGCGGGGACCAGGTGGCAGCTTTCCCCATACTGTTCTTATGATAGTGAGTTCTTTCGAGATCTGATGGTTTTGTAAGTGTCTGGCATTTCCTCTGCTGGCACTCATTCTCTTGCCTGCTGCCATGTAAGACATGCCTTTTTCCTCTTTTGCCTTCTGCCATGACTGTGAGGCTCCCCCAGCCATGTAGAACTGTGAGTTCATTAAACCTCTTTTTCCTAGTCTTGGGTATGTCTTTATTAGCAGCATGAGAACAGACTAATACAAAGTCCAAGACTCCAAAAGCTGAAGAAATTGGAGTCTGATGTTTGAGGGCAGGAAGCATCCAGCACAGAAAAAGATGAAGGCCAGAAGGCTCAGCAAGTCTGCTCTTTCCAATTTCTTCTGCCTGCTTTATCCTGCTCACACAGGCAGCTAATTAGATGGTGCCCACCCAGACAGAGGGTGGGTCTGCTCCCCCAGTCCACTGACTCAAATATTAATCTCTTTGGCAACACCCTCACAGACACACCCAGGAACAATACTTTGCATCCGTCAGTCCAATGAAGTTGACACTCAATATTAACCATCACAGATGGCTTTTCCTCCAGTTCCCAATGTCTTGTTCCTCATCTCTGTCTGAGACCTTATCAGAATGGCCTTTACTGTACATATTTCTATGAACATTCTGTTCATAATCACCTAGAAAAACTTCTAAGAATTAGGCTCCCTCTACAGCTATCCTCTTCTGAGCCCTCACCAGAATCACCTTTAATGCTCTGTTCATGGCAATATAGGTTTTTTCTATATTGTTCCTTCAAATTATTTCAGCCTCTATTTATTACCCAGTTCCAAAGCCACTTCCACATTTTTAGTTGTCATAGCAACTCCCAACTCCTGGTACCCACTTCTGTCTTAGTTTTATGTTGCTATAACACAATATGACAAACTGGGTAATTTATGTTTTTTCTTTATTTCTTCTAAAAAAGAATAACAGGATATATGTACAGAATGTTTAGGTTTGTTACATAGGTATACGAGTGCCATGGTGGTTTGCTGCACATATTGACCTATCCACTAAGTTCCCTCCCCTCACCCCTCACCCCCAACAGGCCCTGGTGTGTATTGTTTCCCTCTCTGTGTCCGTGTGTTCTTAATGTCAACTCCCACTTATGAGTGAGAACATGCAGTGTTTGGTTTTCTGTTCCTGTGTTAGTTTGCTGAGGATGATGGCTTCCAGCTTCATCCGTGTCCCTGGAAAGGACGTGAACTCTCTTTTTTCATGGCAGCATAGTATTCCATGGTGTATAGGTACCACGTTTTCTTTATCCAGTCTATCATTAATGGGCATTTGTGTTGATTCTGTGTTTTTGCTATTGGAAATAGTGCCTCAATAAGCATACATGTGCATGTGTCTTTACAATAGAATGATTTATATTCCTTTGGGTATATATGACAAACTGGGTAATTTGTAAAGAACAAAGACTTATTTCTCACTGTCCTTTTAACCACTGAGAGGTTAAATATTAAAGTGCTGGCATCTGGTGTCTAGTGAGGGCCTTCTTGCTATGGATACAAATGTTATATCCTCATGTGGCAGAAAAGCAAAAGAGAAAGAACCCACTTAACAAGTCCTTTTTATTGTGGCATTAATCCATTCAAGAGGATTGAACCTCACTACCTAAAAATCTCCTGTTAGGTCTCACCACTCAACATTGTTGCACTGGGGATTAAATTTCAACATGAGTTTTGGGAGGGACAAATACATTCAAACCGTAGCCATAGTAATTATTTCCCCACAAATTATTACCAAGTACTCTGTTATCTAGTGTCTACTATTTATTTTCAATACTGAAAAAGTGTGATTTGCTTTTATGTTTACTATAATAATTAAGAATAAGGAAAGAGTCCATTTTTTGAAATCGTTCTCATTTAACACATTTGGGCTAATTAAATGAAATTCTCAATGCTAGTCTTTTATGAACAAAAAAAGAAGAGAATATTTGAGTGCCCCAGTGGAAAAAATATGGCAAAAATAAAACAAGGGAAAGAACCCTCTGGCTATTTTCTCACTTTCTTTCTCAAGTCAGTTTATCCTTATGTCACTTTCCTCTGATCCTGCTTATAATGTTGTCTCTGTAGAACACATTATTTTAGTCTGCCCAGAACATTTCTCTCTCCTTCTTGTAGGTTGGATATGTGACATAAGTGAGGTGAGTCATGGCTAGCATTCATTAATCTGGCCAAATTGCCAGTATGGGAGTAGTCACATGATTCAAGTTAGGAAAAGCAGAGTTCTGTGGGGTTTTTCTAAGTAGAACTAGCAGGAAGAATTCTCTCTTCTCTTTTGGATATCAAGTATTAAATGTAGTCTAAAAAACCCTTCAGGGAGCAAGTCTTTTTCATGTGACAAAGCCCAAGAAGTATACAAGAAGCAGAAGGAGTCTTACAGGAACAAATCCTCAGATTCATACTCTAATGCCTCTGAGATGCCCGGTTCCTGCAGTTCTTCCTTTAATTTTTGCAGCTATCTTATATCCTTCCAATCCATCCCATGTTTAGATTAAACTATTTTGAATTTAGTTTCCTTCATTTGGAATGGAAAATATCTGCTTGAAGCTGCATGTTCAAAAAGGGAATGTCAAAGGATACTGTAGTATTCATACTTTATATACCTTCTTTAAACTGCACCTCAGCGATTCATCTGTACCAAATTTTACATCAAAATCAAAAATCTCCATTGCACAGACTCATTTATAACTATAACGTGGGTGTTGTTGGGATTCTCCATTTGCCTTCTCTAACATTAGACTCTGCTACACAATGATGCAATGTATGTTTAGTTTTTTCTACTGCAAAGACTGAATCTCTAGAATTGTTTTTCCCCTTGCTCTTGAGAGCTAACAGAATATTCAGTGTAACTTCTTGCCCACTTTCCATATTCATATGATAATCAGATATTTGCCCTGTTAGATCTTCTAAATTTCTAATTAATCACACAGTTTAACGTACAAAGAAAATTTAAAAATGCTCCCAAGTTTCTTTTTTTAAAAGAAAATTATTTTTTAAAATGTATTTTAAGTATGCTCTTCTTAAAATGTTACTTTAGCTCCATGGAGATAATCCTTTTTGATTCTATTCATGTTACATCTACATGTTCTTTAAATATCTGTATAAGAACTACCCTTTCTAGCACTACCTGAAATTTATAATTTATTCATAAAGCATTTTTATGATGTTTTTCTTTATGTTTTTGCATACTTTGTCTGCTTTTTTTCTGAAGTAAAATATTTTTTACTGATTATAATGTGAATACATAATTAGGCAGAAAATTAAAGCAATAGAAGAAATAATAAGAGTAAAATTTTCTCCAAATCGAAGCAGGCCATTGTAAACAGTTAAACTAAACACCTTTTTAATTTAAACTTTTGAGGTAATTGTAGATTTATATGCAGTTCTTAGAAATTACAGGGAAATATCCCTTGTTCCTTTACCCAGTTTTCCCCAATAGTAACATCTTGTAAAACTATATATTAATATCATGACTAGACTATTGACTGGATATTTTGACATGTGTGTTGCTAGTACATAAATGCAATTTATTTTCATATATTTATGTGAACTTACATATTGACTCTAGAAGGTATCTTCTTGCAGATTTTTTGTTTTGTTTTTATGTAGATAATTATGCCATCTCCAAGTAAGAACAGTTTTATTTTTTCCTTTCTCATCTGTTCACAACAAAGTGCTAAATTAGATATAGATTTTTTAATGCCTTTATCATGTTGAGGAAGTTTCTCTCTATTCCTGTTTTTCTGAGAACTATTTATCATGGATGGGTGCTGACTTTTTCAAATGCTTTTTCTGCATCAATTGGCATAATTATGTGATTTTTCTTCTTTAACCTGTTGTGGTGAATATTGATTTACATTTGTGAATATTGAAATTACCTTGCGCTTATCCCTGAAATAGACTTGACTTGATCATTTGGTCATGGTGTTTGTGTGTGTGCATGTATATATTTATTTATTTACTGTATTAGTTCATTTTCATGCTGCTATAAGAACATAAACAAGACTGAGTAATTTATAAAGGAAAGAGGTTTAATTGACTCACCATTCCACATGCCTTGGGAGGCCTCAGCACACTTACAATCATGGTGGAAGAAGAAGCAAACACTTCCTTCTTCACCTGGTGGTGTAGCAGGACAAGACGCAGACAAAATCCCTCAGACACTGAGTTGTAGAAAGAAGGGCTTTATTCAGCTGGGAGCATCGGCAGACTCACATCTCCAAAAACTGAGCTCCCCGAGTGAGCAATTCCTGTCCCTTTTAAGGGCTTACAACTCTAAGGTGGTCCACGTGAGGGGGTCCACGTGAGAGGGTCGTGATCGATTGAGCAAGCAGGGGGTACGTGACTGGGGGCTGCATGCACTGGTAATTAGAACAGAACAGAAAAGGACAGGGATTTTTCACAGTGCTTTTCTATACAATGTCTGTACTCTATAGATAACATAACTGATTAGGTCAGGGGTCGATCTTTAACTACCAGGCCCAGGATGTGGCGTCGGGCTGCCTGCCTATGGATTTCATTTCTGCCTTTTAGTTTTTACTTCTTCTTTCTTTGGAGGCAGAAATTGGGCATAAGACAATATGAGGGGTGGTCTCCTCCCATAGTGGCAGGGAAGAGAAGTGCCAAGTGAAGTGGGGAAAGGCCCCTTATAAAACCATCAGTTCTTGTGCGAACTCACTCACTATCACATGAACAGCATGAGGGAACTGCTCCCAGGATTCAATTACCTCCCACTAGGTCCCTCCCATGATATGTGGGGATTATGGGAATTACAAATCAAGATGAGATTTCAGTGGGGACACAGAGCAAAACCATATCATTCCAACCCTGGTCCCTCCTAAATGTCATGTCCTTACAAACACAATCATGCCTTTTCAACAGTCCCCCAAAGTCTTAGCTCATTCCAGCATTAATCCCAAAGTTCAAGTCAAAAGTCTCATCTGAAACAAGGCAAGTCCCTTCTGCCTATGAGCCTGTAAATCTGAAAGCAAGTCAGTTACTTTTTAGATAAAATGGGGGTACAGGCATTGGGTAAATATGCCCATTCCAAATGGGAGAAGTTGGCCAAAACAAAGGGGCTATAGGCCCCATGAAAGTCCAAACTTCAACAGGGCATCACCAAATCTTACAGTTGCAAAATGATCTCTTTTGGCTCCATGTGTCACATCCAGGTCACACTGATGTAAGAGGTGGACTCCAACAGCCTTGGGAAGCTCAGCCCCTGTGGCTTCAAAGGGTACAGCCCCATTCCTGGCTGCTTAGCTGGCTGGCACTGAGTGTCTGTGGCCTTTACAGGTGGATCAGTGGACCTACCATTTTGGGGTCTGAAGGACAGTGGGCCTTCTCTCACAGCTCCAGTAGAGAGTTCCCCATTTGGGACTCTGTGTGTGGACTCCAACCCCACATTTACCTTCTGCACTGCCCTAGCAGAGGTTCTCCATGAGGGACCACCTTTGCAGCAAACTTCCGCCTGAACGTCCAGGCATTTCCATACATCCTCTGAAATCTAGGTGGAGGTTCCCAACCTCAATTCCTGACTTCTGTGTACCTGCAAGCTCAACACCACATGGAAGCTGCCAAGGCTTGGGGCTTGCACCCTCTGAATCCATGGCCTGAGCTGTACCATTTTTACTCACGTCCCTGTGAAGAGAACACCAAACAGGCTTTGTGTGAGCAACAAGGCTGTTTATTTCAGCCAGGTGCAGGTGGGCTGAGTCCAAAAAAGAGAGTCAGCGAAGGGAGATAGGGGTGGGGCCATTTTATAAGATTTGGGTAGGTAAAGGAAAATTACAGTCAAAGGGGGGTTGTTCTCTGGTGGTCAGGGGTGGGGGTCACAAGGTGCTTGGCGGGGGAGCTTTTGAGCCAGGTGAGCCAGGAGAAGGAATTTCACAAGGTAATGTCATCAGTTAAGGCAGGAACAGGCCATTTTCACTTCTCTTGTGGTGGAATCTCATCAGTTAAGGCAGGAACTGGCCATCTGGATGTGTATGTGCAGGTCACAGGGGATATGATGGCTTAGCTTGGGCTCAGAGGCCTGACATTCCTGTCTTCTTATATTAATAAGAAAAAAAAAAAACCGAAATAGTTGTAAAGTGTTGGGGCGGCGAAAATTTTTGGGGGTGGTATGGAGAGATAATGGGTGATGTTTCTCAGGACTGCTTCGAGCGGGATTGGGGCGGCATGGGAACCTGGAGTGGGAGAGATTAAGCTGAAGGAAGATTTTGTGGTAAGGGGTGATATTGTGGGGTTGTTAGAAGAAACATTTGTTGTGTAGAATTATTGGTGATGGCCTGGATATGGTTTTGTATGAATTGAAAACTAAATGGAATAAGAGAAGGAGAAAAACAGGTATTAAAGGACTAAGAATTGGGAGGACCCAGGACATCTAATTAGAGAGTGCCTAAGGAGGTTCAGCATAGCCTTGCCAGCAAAGATTATTTATTTACGTTAAGAGTTAAGAGTGGCAGTTTGGGGATAGCACCAGGAGATATCAGCTGTGATGGCTTGGAGAAACAGTGTAAACCGGCAGTGTAAACAAGAGCAGGGCATGCAGGAGTAGTTGAGAACAGTGAATAGGAGTATGACTAGAGAGAAGATAGTAGGGATGACAAGTTTTTTGGGGCACAGTCCAAGTTGGTCTGGTATCTGGAATGAGACTGGGGCCTAATAAAAAGGAGCATCCATACAGGAGCTTAAATGGGCTATAACCTGTAGCATTCCGAGGACAGGCCTGAATTCTGAGAAGGGCAAGTGGTAAAAGTATTGTACAGTCCTTTTTAAGTTGGTGGCTGAGATTGGTGAGGTGTGTTTCTAAAGGACCATTAGTCCATTCTACCTTTCCTGAAGATTGAGGATGGTAAGGGATGTAAAGGTTTCACTGAATACCAAGAGTCTGAAAAAATGCTTGGCTGATTTGACTAATAAACGCTGGTCTGTTATCAGACTGTGAAGAGGTGGGAAGCCCAAACTGAGGAATTATGTCTGACAGAAGGGAAGAAATGACCATGGTGGCCTTCTTAGACCCTGTGGGAAAGTCCTCTACCTATCCAGTGAAAATGTCTACCCAGGCCAAGAGGTATTTTAGTTTCCTGACTTGGGGCATGTTGAGTAAAGCTAATTTGCCAGTCCTGGGTGGGGGCAAATCTCCGAGCTTCATGTGTAGGGAAGGGAGGGGGCCAGAATAATCCCTGAGGAGTAGTAGAATAGCAGATGGAACACTGAGAAGTTATTTCCTTGAGGATAGATTTCCACGATGGAAATGAAATGAGAGGTTCTAAGAGGCGGGGTAGTGGCTTGTACTATAGCATAGCCTGCCTTTGCTGGTG
This sequence comes from Homo sapiens, assembly GCF_000001405.40. Classification (NCBI taxonomy): domain Eukaryota; kingdom Metazoa; phylum Chordata; class Mammalia; order Primates; family Hominidae; genus Homo; species Homo sapiens. The sequence goes on along the minus strand of NC_000002.12, from coordinate 188,037,444 downwards.
TGTGGCGATTAGGCCTGGTGGGAACTGCCATCAATAAACTAAGTGTGATCAGGGTGAGGAACAAGAAAGAAGGAAATATGGGGAAATGGGGTGAATGTCAGGTGGATCAGAGAGATACAGTCGTGGGGGTCAGGTGTGGTATCTGGAATAATGTGGGAGGCTGGATTGAAGTCCGGGCCAGGAACAGTGGTGATTGTGGGAGACTCAACAAAGAGTGAGTACAGCTGAAGAAGCCAGGGAGCAGACAGTATATGTGTCAGGTGTGAGGAAGAAAATAGATTTTGGAAGTTATGAGAACTGTTGATCATAGTTCGTGATTTTAAGGGCCTCTAAAAGTATTAGGGCAGCGGCAGCTGCCGCACGCAGACTTGAGGGCTAGGCAAAACAGTAAGGTCAAGTTGTTGGGATAAAAAGGCTACAGGGTGTGGTCCCAGTTCTTGTGTAAGAATTCTGACTGCACAGTCCTGCACTTCAGCTGTGGGTAATGAAAAGGGTTCTGATGAGTCAGGGAGAGTTAGGGTGGGGGAAGTCTCTAAAGCTGTCTTCAAGGAACGGAAAGAGGAGTGGGGAAAGGATTTAGGATCTATGGGGTCAGATAGGTTTCTTTTTGTGAGTTTATATAATGGTTTTGTTAGGATGGCAAAACCAGGTGTCTAAAGTCGAAAGTATCTAACCATGCCTAGGAAGGAAAGGAGTTATTGTTTTGTAGAAGGTGTTGGGGTTTGAGAGATCAGTTGGACACAATCGGCAGGGAGAGCATGTGTGTTTTTATGAGAATTACGCCGAGATAAGTAACAGATGAGGAAGAAATTTGGGCTTGATTGAAAGAAATTTGGGCTTGATTGAAGTAATGGGGGCCGTCTGTGAAGCCTTGCGGCAGCACAGCCCAGGTAATTTGCTGAGCCTGATGGGTGTCAGGGTCAGTCCAAGTGAAAGCGAAGAGAGGCTGGGATGAAGGGTGCAAAGGAATAGTAAAGAAAGCATGTTTGAAATCCAGACAGAATAATGGGTTGTGGAGGGGGGCATTGAGGCTAGGAGAGTATATGGGTTTGGCACCACAGGGTGGATAGGCAAAACAATTTGGTTGATAAGGCGCAGATCCTGAACTAACCTGTAAGCCTTGTCTGGTTTTAGGACAGGTAAAATGGGGGAATTGTAAGGAGAGTTTATAGGCTTTAAAAGGCCATGCTGTAACAGGCAAGTGATAACAGGCTTTAATCCTTTTAAAGCATGCTGTGGGATGGGATATTGGCATTGAGGGGGGTAAGGGTGATTAGGTTTTAATGGGATGGTAAGGGGTGCATGACCAGTCACCAAGGAGGGAGTAGAGGTGTCCTATACTTGTGGGTTAAGGTGGGGGGATACGAGAGGAGGATGTGAAGGAGGCTTTGAAATGGGGAAAAGGGTGGCAATGAGGTGTTGCTGTAGTCCAGGAATAGTCAGGGAAACAGATAATTTAGTTAAAATGTCTTGGCCTAATAAGGGAACTGGGCAGGTGGGGATAACTTAAAAAAGAGTGTATAAAAGAATGTTGTCTAAGTGGGCACCAGAGTTGGGGAGTTTTAAGAGGTTTAGAAGCCTGGCCGTCAATACCCACAACAGTTATGGAGGCAAGGGAAACAGGCCCTTGAAAAGAAGTAATGTGGAGTGGGTAGCCTCCGTATTGATTAAGAAGGGGATGGACTTACCCTCCACTGTGAGAGTTACCCAGAGCATCTGTGATTGTCCTGTAGGCTTCCAAGGCGATTGGGCAGTGTCAGTCTTCAGCTGCTAAGCCGAGAAGATCTGGGAAGGAGTCACTCAGAGAGCCTTGGGCCAGAGTTCCAGGGGATCTGGAAGCGGCTGCCAGGTGAGTTGAAGAGTCCGATTTTCAGTGGGGTCCCGCACAGACAGGACACGGCTTAGGGGGAATCTCGGGCTGTGGGCATTCCTTGGCCCAGTGGCCAGATTTCCGGAGTAAACCTTGGCAGCTGCAGTTCAGGCGTTTGGAAGTTCTTGTGTGTGGAGATGTGGCTGGGGTTTCTTTCACAGTGGAGGCAAGGAATTGCAACTCAGAAATATATTGCTACTTGGCTTCCTCTACTCTATTATTGTACACCTTGAAGGCGAGGTTAATTATGTCTTGTTTGTGGGGTTTGAGGGCCGGAATTTAATTTTTGGAGTTTTATTTAATGTCAGGAGCGGATTTGGTAATAAAATGTATATTGAGAATAAGATGGCCTTTTGACCTTTTAGGGTCTAGGGCTATAAAGCATCTCAGGGTTGCTGCCGAATGAGCCATGAACTGGGCTGGGTTTTTCATATTTGATGAAAAAGAGCCTAAATGCTAACTGATTTTGGGAGAGGTCGGATAAAGAAAAAGGAGCATTAACCTCGACTATGCCTTTAGCTCCAGCCACCTTTTTTAAGAGGAAATTGCTGGACAGGTCGGGGAGGGCTAGTTGCTGAACGAAACTGTAAGCTGGACCGGGTGTGAGGAGGGGAGGTGATAAAAGGGTTACAGGGTGGGGGAGCAGAGGCTGAGGAAGAATTGGGACCTGGCTTGGCCTGGCGAGGAGCAGCCTGGGGAGGAGGGGAGAAGTCAGATGGGTCTGTAGAAAAGGAAGATTACAAATACTCAGCGACCCTTAGGGTTGGGACTGAGAGGACAGGCGGGAGGGAAAGAAGGAGGATTTGGGACTAGTCGCATTGGGAACAGAGACTAGGGAGGCACTGATGTGTAAAAGAATGCCTGGATGTCAGGCACCTCAGACCGTTTGCCCATTTTATGACAAGAATTATTTAGATCTTGTAGGATGGAAAAATCGAAAGCGCCTTTTTCTGGCTATTTGGAACCACTGTCGAGTTTGTATTGTGGTCAGATTGCATTGTAGAAGAAAATAAGGCATTTAGGTTTTAGGTCAGGTGTGAGTTGAAGAGGTTTTAAGTTCTTGAGAACACAGGCTAAGGGAGTAGAGGGAGGAATGGAGGGTGGAAGGTTGCCCATAGTGAAGGAGGCAAGTCCAGAGAAAAGAGAGAGTAGAGACACGGAGAGAAGGGGTCAGGGGGTTCTTGTCCCCCAGAAAAGCGGCATTTGCCGCTAAGGGTGAAGGACCAAGGCAGGCGTCCCCGCGTGGTCAGACACACCTGAAATGTGTGTGAATAATCAGGCAGGTATCCCCACGTGATTAAACACCAAGGGAAGGCTGCCTTCCCGAGTCTGTGACTGGCGCCGGAGTTTTGGGTTCATGGATAAAATGCATCTCCTGAGTTGTCTCTACCAGAAAAGGGAAGGAACTGAAATTAAGAGAAGGGAGAGATTGAAAGATGGTGCCAAGATTGAAAGGAGAAAGAGGTTGATGGATAGTGAGAGGTTGGAGAAGAGAGTAAAAAGAGGTCGCTTACCTGATTTAAAATTGGTGAGATGTTCCCTGGCCTGGTCGGTCTGAGGACCAGAGGTCGTAGGTGGATCTTTCTCACGGAGCAAAGAGCAGGACGGGGGATTGATCTCCCAAGGGAGGTCCCCCGATCCGAGTCACGGCACCAAAATTTCACTCGCATCCATGTGAAGAGACCACGAAACAGGCTTTGTGCGAGCAACAAGGCTGTTTATTTCACCTGGGGGCAGGTGGGCTGAGTCCGAAAAGAGAGCCAGCGAAGGGAGATAGGGGTGGGGCCATTTTATAAGATTTGGGTAGATAAAGGAAAATTACAGTCAAAGGGGGTTTGTTCTGTGGCGGGCAGGGGTTGGGGGGGGGGTCACAAGGTGCTCAGCGGGGGAGCTTTAAGCCAGGATGAGCCAAGAGAAGGAATTTCACAAGGTAATGTCATCAGTTAAGGCAGGAACAGGCCATTTTCACTTCTTTTGTGGTGGAATGTCATCAGTTAAGGCAGGAATCGCCCATCTGGATGTGTATGTGCAGGTCACAGGGGATATGATGGTTTAGCTTGGGCTCAGAGGCTGGACAACCATGACCCCTTTAAACCACAGTTGGAGCAGCTGGGATGTGAGGCACAAAGTCTCAAGGTTGCAAACAGTAGGGGTGTCCCTGAACCCAGCCCATGAAACCAGTTTCTCCTCCTAGGCTTCCTGGCATGTGATGGGAGGGGCTGTGGAGAAGGTGCCTGACATTCCCTGGAGACATTTTCCCCATTGTCTTGGTGATTAGCATTTGGCTCCTCATTACTTATGCAAATTTCTGCAGCTGGCTTGAATTTCTCCCCAGAAAATGGGTTTTTCTTTTCTACTGCATCATTATCTGAGTGCAAATTTTTCAAACTTTGATGATCTGTCGCCTCTTGAATGCTTTGTTGCTTAGAAATTTCTTCCACCAGATACCCTAAATCATCTCTCACGTTCAAAATTCCACAGATCTCTAGGGCAGGGGGGAAATGCTGCCAGTCTGTTTGCTAAAGCATGGCAAGAGTCACCTTTGCTCCAGTTCCCAAGAAGTTCCTCAGCTCCATCTTAGACCACCTCAGCCTGGACTTCATTGTCTATGTCACTCTCAGCATTTTGGTCAGAGCAATTCCACAAGTCTCTAGGAAGTTCCAAACTTTCCTGCATCTTCCTATCTTCTCGGCCTTCCAAGTCTCTAGGAAGTTCCAAACTTTCCCACATTTCCCCTAAATGAGCCCTCTAACCTGTCCCAAACTCTACCTTGTAAGGTCAGTTGAGAGAAAGGAAGAATAGACCCGAAGTCAGATGAGTAAGTTTATTGAACCTGCTGGCTGCTCCACCACAGACAGCAGGCAGTCCTGAGCTGTTTATAAACCTGAGGGGTTTATATGGGGGAGACAGACCCTGGGGTCATTTGTTGGTTAACTTTGCCATATATCACCTTGTGACGTTTGTGGTAGCAGCCAGATGAAGGAACTTATAGGAGGGTATAGGTAAAGTTTGTTTATGCTTCCCAGGACCTTCCCCTGTGCAGTCTAGATGGCTTGTAATTGGGGTTTGTTTATTGCAGCAAGGCCTGGTAGGTAAAGTCTGCTGGCCTCACAGCGGTGCCTAGATAAGTGCTTAGAAATGTAAAGGGCTGGGGGGGAAGGGTGGGCAGAGTTGCAGAGCATAAGGGGGAGGAGTAGGCAGCACGGAGAGGTTTGGGGGAAGTGTTGGCAGTACCAAGAAGTTTTTTGGGGTGGTTTGTCCCTAACATACCTGTTACTTAGTTCCAAAGTTGCTTCCACGTTTTCGGGTATCCTTATAGCGTGTGTGTGTGTGTGTGTGTGTGTGTGTCTGTGTGTGTATGGAGAGAGAGAGCTGAATTATTTTGTAGTTTTGCATCCATATTCATAGGGATATTTGTTCATAGTTTCATTTTTTGTACTATATCTAGTTTTGGTGTCAAGTTAATACTTGCTTTATAATGTAGATTGGTAAGTGTTCTCTTCAGTTTTCTGGAAAACATTTTTCTCTTTGTTAAGGTACACATTTAGTGCTTCAATTTTCTTCTCAGCATGAGCTTAACTGTTTCCCACATAACCGAATATGTTATATTTTAATTTTCATTTTATTCTGCTCAAAGTATTTTTTATTTCCTTGGAGAATTCCTCTTTGACCCATGAATTATTTACAAGCATTTTGTTTAGTTTTCATGTGGTTGGAGATTTTCCCCTTTATATTTTTGCTATGAATATCTAAGTTAATTCCATCGTAATAAAGAATATATTCTGTGTGATTTCAATTCTTTAAATGTTTTGCTATTTGTTTTGTGGCTGAAGGTGGTCTATCATGGTGTTTCATGGGCACTTAAAAATATATATATTCTGCTGTTGGTGTTTATTAGTGTTGATTATCACTTATTGATTGATAATACTGTTGTCTTCTTTTGTATCTTTGCTGATTTTCTGACTAGTTGTTTTATCAATTTTGAGAGAGCTATATTGAAGTTTTCAACCATAATTGTGGATTTGTCTATTTTTCTTCATTTATATCAGTTTGATTAACATATTTTGCAGCTCTGATTAGTGCATACATATTTATGGTTGCTATGTCTTCTACTTGTATTGACCCTTTTATTGGTACATAATACTGACCCAGTGTTCCATAGACAGTTTTTAAAATAAATATAAAAATTGTCGGGCTGGGCAAGGTGGATCATGCCTGTAATCCCAGAACTCTGGGAGGCTGAGGCGGGCGGATCACGAGATCAGGAATTCAAAACCAGCCTGACCAACATCAAACCCCGTCTCTACTAAAAATACAAAAAATTAACTGGGCATGGTGGTGCATGCCTATAATCCCAGCTACTCAGGAGGCTGAGGCAGGAGAATTGCTTGAACCCCAGAGGCGGAGGTTGCAGTGAGCGGAGATGGCGCCACTGCACTCCAGCCTGGGCAATAAGAGTGAGACTGTGTCTCAAGAAAAAAAAAAAAATTGTCCCTTCTGGTCTTAAAGCTTGTAACTTGCATTTGCTTTATTCTGAGTTTCTTCCTTAGGAAAAAGACCTTCAATCCTCTTGAAAAGTATCAAAGAACTGAAACTCACCAAATCACTGCATCCAGACAATGAGATGCCAGATCCTACATTCATCATGATTGCTTCCTTTCCCCTCCCTAGTTCCTGTTTTATTATACATCATTACATTTCTTCCTTGCTATATAAACCCCTAATTTTAGTTGGTCAGGGAGATGGATTTGAGACTGACCTCCCATCTCCTTAGCTGCAACATCTGATTAAAGCCTTCTTCCTTGGCAATAATCATTGTTTCAGTGATTGGCTCTCTGTATGGTGAGCAGCAAGACCTAGACCAAACCCCTGGTGTTTTGGTAACAATATCTGTTTCTCCCATTTTTTTTTGGTTATGAAGCCTACTTTATCTGATATTAATATACTCATTAATGCTTTCTTTCATTAGTGTTTTTCTGATGTACTTCCACAGTATACATTTTACTCTTTTTATTTTTTATTAGCTGCCTATCATGTTATGTTTAAAATGAATTTCCTATAGACAGCACACAATTGTGTAATTGTTTTTTTAAATCTATCTACAAATTCCTGTCTTTCAGTTATTATATTTAAACCATTTTTATTTAATGTAGGTATTAATTTGGTAGAACTTAAATTTACCATTTTTAAAATTTAGTCTTGTTTTCTATTTGTTCTCTCTGATTTGCATTTTTCTATTTTCTTTTTTCTGACTTCCTGTGGATTACTTGAGCATTTTTAAAATTCCATTTTGTCTTATGGAAAGTCTTTGGAACATCATTTTAAGAATTTCTATGTAAAAACTGCATACATGGCCAGGTACTCACATTCATGCACATGCTTTGATATGAACAGCATTCAAAGCTATAACATATTTTTCTCATTTAACAATTAAAGACTCTTCCCCATCAATCAATGTTAATATTTATCTTGCTTTTCAAACTTTTAATATTCATTGCTTGAGTGTAGCTTAACTTAGTCAAGTGAAATCTCAGTTATTAATATCTAGGGAGTTCCAAATGTGTGTTATTATAAACAATACTGGATAAAAAAAATCCTCGTGTTGGTTTCTTTGACATTTTGAGTTTTATTACTTTTTGCCAATGTTTCGCAAAAAATTCATTTACTTTATTTTATTTATAATTGTGGTTAACTATTTTTTGTCTGATCATTGGCTATTTTTATTTTTTTAATTTTTGAATTACGTGTTTATTTTATGCACCATTTTCCCATATGTAACTTTGTTTAAAGTTTTTAAGTTAAAGTTATTAATAATTGTTATGTTTCATCATATTAAAATTTACAAAAATGACACAGTCACTATAAAACTTCAAAGACATAAAGCATTTAAAATAACATGGAAAGTTCTCATACAACTCTGTTCACTCCCCTCAAAATATTCTCAAAGTCCCCTGCCATTAAAGTGGTGTGTATTTTCAATGCCTAGAAGCATACATATGGGTGAATACCAAATATAATTCAGAAATATGTTAAAGATGGGTTCAACTATTAAAATAATTTTCAAGTTATAGTAATTTAAAAGATATAGCAATCACACAATAAAAAGAGACAAATAGAAAAAATAAACTCTAGAAATATATTCAAACACATTGAAATTTAGCGTATAATATAAATGGCATTTCAAATCAGTAGGGAAACAGGATCAATTTCATAGATGGTATCAAGTAATTGGCTATTGTTTGCTTCTTACTCCAAATCATAATGTAGCTATGCTTTGCTTCTTACTCCAAAATAAAATGAATATAAGGATATGTGGGAAGGTAAAAATGTATCTATAAAATAACTAAATTGCTGAGGTAGGGAATGCCTGTCAAGAAGCTGTATAAATTTCCAAAATTAATAGACACAAGACTGAATTTGTGTCTGGAAAATGGCAGATAGGATGTAGAACTAACTTGCAGCTCCCACTTGGATGGACAGAGCTGCATGTGGAGACCTATATCATGAAATTTTGTTCCAAGAACTACTGGGGGAACATACCAGGAAAGTCGAGAGAATCCGCAGACCCTTTGAAGGAGGTGGATTGCCGCTGCAGGCTTTATGCTACAGCAGAGGAACTGTGAGTCTGCTTGCCTTCTCAGCTGAGAGGCTTGAAGCCTGGGGCAAATTCTCAACCCTGCTCACTGGCTGCCTGGAAATAAACACAGTGCTGTTGTGGGGACAAGGTGGGAATGAGACTGGCCATTCAGGCTGTGGGCTGCATGGGAGTGGAGTGAGGACTGTGACAGCCGGCTTCCTTCCCCTTCCCTAGTGACCTAGGTAAAGCAGGAGATACAGCCATAATTCTCCTGGGAACATAACTCCACTGGCCTGGGAACTACACCCCTATCCCCTGCAGCAGCCATAGCAAGCCCTGCCCAAGCAGAGTGTGAGCTCAGACACCCTAACCCTGCCCCCACCTGATGGTCCTTACCCACTCTGGTAGCCAAAGACAAAGGACATAATCTCTTGGGAAATATATGACCCCACCTAAAGTCTGATCCTCCCTATACAACTGCAGCTAACAGGCTCTTGAAAGTGCCATCTCCTGGCTGGAGACCAACCAACACAAGATTAGCACACTTAACAAAAACAACCAAGGACCCTTATATAGTCCATCTCATTCCCCTGCTACCTCCACCAGAGCAGGTGCTAGTATCCACAGCTGAGAGACCTGAAGACAGATCACATCACAGGACTCTTTGCAGACACTCCCCAGTACCAGCCCAGAGCCTGGTAGCTCTGCTGGGTAGCTAGAACCAGATTTGGCTCTCAGGAAGCTTTATCCCTAGGGGAAGGGGGAAAGCACCACATCAAGGGAGCATGCTGTGGGACAAAAGAATCTGAACAGCAGCCCTTGAGTCCCAGATCTTCTCTTTGACATAGTCTACCCAAATGAGAAGGAAAAACAGCAACAACAACAAATTCTGGTAATATGACAAAACATCTTAAACACTCCCAAAAGATCACACTAGCTCACCAGCAATAGATCCAAACCAAGATGAAATCTCTGAATTGCCAGAAAAAACAAATCAGAAGGTGGATTATTAAGCTAATCAAGGAGGCACAAGAGACAGATGAAGTCCAACTTAAATAAATAAATAAAAAAAAATGATACAGGATATGAAAGGAAAAAATCTTCAGTGAAATAGCAAAAATAAAAAATAATGACGAATTCTGGTAATCAAGGACACACTTAGAGAAACAGAAAATGCACTGGAAAGTCTCAGCAATAGAATCAAATAGGTAGAAGAGGTAGAAGAAAGAACTTCAGAGCTCAAAGACAAGGCATTTGAATTAACCTAATCTGACAAAGACAAAAAATATATAAAAAAATGAACAAAGCCTCCAAGAAATTTGGGATTATGTTAAAAGGCCAAATCTAACAGTAATTAGTGTTCCCAAAAAAGAAGAGAAATCTAGAAGTTTGGAATATTTGAGGAAATAATCAAGAAAAACTTCCCTGGCCTTGCTAGAGATCTAGACATTCAAATGCAAGAAGCTCAAAGAACACCTGGGAAATTCATCACAAAAAGATCATTGCCTAGGCACATAGTAATCAGGTTATCTAAAGTCAAGACAAAGGAGAGAATCTTAAGAGTTGTTGGGCAAAAGTATCAGGTAACCTATAAAGGAAAACCTATCAGATTAACAGCGGATTTCTCAGCAAAAACCCTACAAGCTAGAAGGGATTGGGGTCCTATCTTTAGCCTCCTTAAACAATACAATTATCAGCAAATAATTTTATATCCAGTGAAACTAAGATTCATAAATGAAGAATAGTCTTTTTTGAACAAACAAATCCTGAGAGAATTCACCACTACCAAACCAGCGATATAAGAACTGCTAAAAGGATCTCTAAATCTTGAAACAAATCCCCAAAATATACCAAAATAGGATTTCCATAAAGCATGTATCTCACAGGACCTATAAAACAATAACACAATGCAAAAAAAGCAAGATATTCAGGCAACAAATAGCATGATGAATAGAATGGTACCTCACATCTCAATACTAACATTGAATGTAAATGATCTAAATGCTCCACTTAAAAGATACAGAATGGCAGAATGAATAAGAATTCACCAACCAAGTATCTGCCATCTTCAAGAGACTCACCTGACACATAAGGACTCAAATAAACTTAAGATAAAGGGGTGGAAAAGAATATTCCATGCAAATGGACACCAAAAGTGAGCAGGAGTAGCTATTCTTATATCAGACAAAACAAATTTTAAAGCAATTGCAGTTAAAGACAAAGAGGGACATTATATTATGATAAAAGGACTAGTCCAACAGAAAAATATCACTATCCTAAATATATATGCACCTAACACTGGAGTTCTCAAATTTATAAAACTATTACCACTAGACCTAAGAAATGAGATAGACAGCAACACAATACTGGGGACTTCAATCCTCCACTGACAGCACTAGACAGGTCATCAAGACAGAAAATTAACAAAGAAACAATGGACTTAAGCTTCACCCTAGAACAAACAGACTTAACAGATATTTACAAAACATTCTACCCAACAACTACAGAATATGCATTCTACTCATCAGCCATGGAACAAAGAGTGGGAAAAAAAATCTTCACAATCTATACATCCAACTGAAGGACTATTATCCAGAATCTACAAGGAACTCAGGCAAATCAGCCACAATAAAACAAACAATCTTATCAAAAGTGGGCTAAGGACATGAATAGTCAATTCTCAAAAGAAGACATACAAATGGCCAAGAAATATATGAAAAAATGCTCAACACCACTAATTACCAGGGAAATGCAAATCAAGACCACAATGTGATACCACTTCACCCCTGCAAGAATGGCCATAATCAGAAAATCAAAAAATAATAGATGTTGGTGAGAATGTGTTGAAAAGGGAACATTTTTTACACTGTTCGTGGGAATGTAAACTAGTACAACCACTATGGAAAACAGTGTGGTGATTCCTACAAGAACTAAATGTAGATCTATCATTTGATCCAGCATTCTCACTACTTGTAGGAAACGAAGCCATTATATGAAAAAAGATACTTGCACACATATATTTATGGCAGCACAATTCGCAATTGCAAAAATATTGAACCTGTCCAAATGTCCATCATTCAATGAGTGGTTAAATAAAATGTAGTACATATATATATGTATATAACATGGAATGTTCCTCAGCCATAAAAAGGAATGGAATAACGGCATTTGCAGCAACCTGGATGGAATTGGAGACCATTATTCTAAGTGAAGTAACTCAGGAATGGAAAACTAAACATCATTATGTACTCACCCATAAGTGGGAACTGAGCTATGAGGATGCAAAGACATAAGAATAATACAATGGAGGCCAGGCGCAGTGGCTCATGCCTGTAATTCCAGCACTTTGGGAGGCTAAGGCAGGTGGATCATGAGGTCAGGAGATCAAGACAATCCTGGCTAACACGGTGAAACCCCATCTCTACTAAAAATGCAAAAAATTAGCTGAGGGTGATGGCGGGCACCTGTAGTCCCAGCTACTCAGGAGGCTGAGGAAGGAGAATAGCTGAACCCAGGAGGCGGAGCTTGCAGTGAGCCGAGATCGCACCACTGCACTCCAGCCTGGGCAACAGAGCAAGACTCCGTCTCAAAATAATAATAATACTACAATGGACTTTGGGGCCTTGGGGGTAAGGGTGGGAGGTGGGTGAGGGATAAAAGACTATACATTGGGTACAGTGTACACTGCTAGAGTGCTGGGTACACCAAAATCTCAAAAATCACCACTAAAGAATGTATTCCTGTAACCAAACAACACTTATTCCCCAAAAACCTATTGAAATAAGAAGAAAGAAGAAAGACAAAAAATGGACACAAGACTGGAAAATTTTACTGCATAAAAACATAAACATCTTTAAAGCATAACCTGTAAGTCCAGATCCCCACAACAAACGATGAGAGGGAGAATAAAAAAGAACATTAGTTTCACTTTGTAGTGAAATAAACTAAAAAGCTCAAGTTTCAGAGTACAGTGCTCCATATTTTTGGCAGCTGCCTCCTTTCTTCTTGTGTGGTCTAAATGAGACTGTGCTGACTAAAGAGCATGCCCCATCATATTCACAGAGCCAGCAGAGGACCCTCCCTTTCATGATCAAAGCTAATTGGATAAATAAATATACACAATTTCAAAAAACTCCATAATCTGTTAATTATTCTAGCTCATCATTTATAAACATGAATAGATACATTAGTACTACCAAACCAAGGAAACACAAAATTATGAGTGATAAAGATGGAAAACTAAATGACTGACCCAGAAGTAAACGGTTTTTGTTTTCATAAATATTACTTTAAAAGTTATTTGTTTTATTCAGAGATAAACAATTCAGAGAATATTGCACTGAGAAATAATAGGATCCTATGTTCAATATTATGAGCAATAATGTTGTAATTGCAATAAGTGAACAATCTAAAAATATTAATTGAGTATATGGAAAAAAACAGCATTGGTAAGATAAAAATAAATCCAGAGTAAACTAAGATAATTTAGGCATATAAATAACACCTATTCTTATAGTGAAATCTTTGATAACATCAGAAGCCAGGCTCCTTTGCCATCCCCTTTTATTGGTTCCTATACAGATTACCCCTAAACTCCCTTAAAAGTAAAAATAAAATGAAGGATATAGCTCAGAAAATGGAGCAAAAATATAAAAAGAAGGTTAGTTTGACTAATAACTTATCTGAGAGGACAGATGTAATAGCTCTGGAATTTGTTTCAGAGGAATATCAGGAGAAGATAAAGAAATGAAAATATTTTAAAAATATGATTAAAAATAATTTCCCCCAAATTTAAAAGTAGCCCTGCTGGGCACAGTGGTTCACACCTGTAATCCAGGAATTTGGAGACTGAGATGGGAGGATCACTTGAGGCCACGAGTTCGAGACCCATCTGAGTAACACAGTGAGACTGTCTCTAAAAACAAAAAACAGGCTGGGCACGGTGGCTCAAGCCTGTAATCCCAGCACTTTGGGAGGCCGAGGTGGGCGGATCACGAGGTCAGGAGATCAAGACCATCCTGGCTAACACAGTGAAACCCCGTCTCTACTAAAAAATAGAAAAAATTAGCTGGGCATGGTGGCGGGCGCCTGTAGTTCCAGCTACTCGGGAGGCCGAGGCAGAAGAATGGCATAAACCCGGGAGGCAGAGCTTGCAGTGAGCTGAGATCTCGCCACTGCACTTCAGCCTGGGCAACAGAGCGAGACTCCGTCTCAAAAAAACAAACAAAAAAAACCCCTGAGTTTCAAGAGAAAATAATAAACAGACTCTACACACATTAAAATAGAAATGATGCAGACTGCAAGTTCTTATAACAAAAATTTTAATAAATCAAAAGTTTCAAAAATCTTTAGTTTTTTTTTAATGACTAAAACCCAGCTACCAACAATAGAGAAAAAACTCCTAATACTGTACTTCTTAGTGACAAGAGTACAAATGCAGAGCTCAGTGGAGCAATAATCTTAAATTTATGGGTAGACATAATCTGAAACTAGATTCCTATACCCAGCTATATTCTTATCCAGATATAAAGGCAAATTAATGAAACTTTTAATATGCCAAGACTCAGACAATTTGTCACCCACAAAATATAGGAAAAAATCACTTAAGAATGTACTTCAGAGAAAATAAAATGCATTCAAGGCATACAGTTATTATCTGTACTTTTCAGGTTATTTATGTTTTCTTTATCTACATGTTGGAAATACTGTATAATGGTGTGCTGCTGCACATCACTTCTTATCTCCACATTCAGCGATGCCATTTGGGTAGCTTGAAATCAGCCAATGCTTCAAATCAGGACTTGATTCAATATTTTGTTGTTTGCCTAGAGTTAGGAAAGTAATAGAGAAAGAGTTAATAGCATAGATTAATGTGTGCATGTCTAGTGCTGAAGATGAAATAGGTCTCATTGTAATGAGTATAATTTGTATAAGGGTGATAAATAGTTTAAGAGGAGATCACAATTCAGATTTAATGACAATAACTGTATTGCAAAAAGTAATAGATGAGTAGGATAAAACTCCATTTGTTGAATCATGTTTGGATTACAACCAGAGTTTGTCTACAGATAACAGAATTTGGCAAAAAAATCCATGAAAGCATTGTATACAAATTCGTAGGTTAGATATAATTTACAATAAAGAATATTATGTATTTTATTATCATTTGTATATCACCAAAACTTGTAAAAACTTATGTAAGTATATCAACATATACATTTTTCCCAAAGAGCCAGCTGTTAAATATTTACTAGTATGCCACTGGTTATGAATGATTTTATTTCACTTTTTATAGCTCTCTATGTGTCTGAATTAAATATATCTTTTGCTTTTATAATCAAGAAAAAGCATATTATTTAAAAACCACTATAGACTGGCATACTGCCCAGCTTTAGTTTGGGGCATTAAGTTTTTCCTGTTGAGGCAGAACGAGCACCAGAGTGCCACAATGTTAAAGTTGTTTTATGAGCTCTCAAGTTCAGAAAGAGAAGCAATGTTATATGAGCCTTAAATAAAATGCACCAGGCCAGGGTCATTTTATATATAATCCTGTTTAATACCCATCATAAACCAAAAAAGTAGGCATTTTTGAAATTTTAAAGATAGGCGGACAGTGAAGCCAGAGGTTTGCCAGAAAGGTCTAGATTTTATAAAATGGAGTGAAGTGATATTTACCTGATCCTTTACCTAACCTCAGCTGGGCAGATCCAGAAATGCTGATATTTACCTGATCCTTTACCTAACCTCAGCTGAGCTGAGCAGATCCAGAAATGCTATTTTGCCAGTACACTGAAATTGAGTGATTCAAGGAGATTCAACCTTAAGATAGTGAACTGTATAAATCAAGATTCTAGGGTATTACATTAAAATAAGAAATGTCCTGTCACCAGGCTCAGTGTTCATGAAGGCCTGACTAGCCTGACCTCTCTCTATAGGAAGCTACCTCAGTCATCAGACAGATGCTTGGAAAGCCTGAAATGAGAGCAACAGTAGTGAATTACAGGATTTTAATGTTTAATAGCTTTATGCCCAAATATTCTAACACATCTATACCCATAATGGGGATAAATCTTCCCTAAGACAGAATGTTTAATTGATGTGGATGGAGTTTGCAAGGCCTTGGTAATGTTGCTTTTTCATGACTTCCATTGTGACCATGTAATGATTGATCTTTTCTTTCCTTAGTTATATTGAAACTCTCAATCTTGCTACCTTGGGCATCTAAGAGCTATTGTGTTGATTTATAATTTATCTCTCAAAAAGCAACCTGAATACACTTAGTCCTTTATGTGAGAGGTATGCTATTTTCCCCTAATAAGCTAAAGATATAAATTTCTTCATTTACCCAGGTCATCCTTAGTGTCTCAGAGAGAGTAAGCAGAGAGAGTGGGCAAAGGTGATGTATCTATGCCTGTGCCTGTGTGTTTGTAGTGACTCTGTTGGGAACCAGGGGTTAAGGGGATCTGGAAGGAATGGTGAGGAGCTTATTATACAGACTGCTTGTAAATCTAGTGTTGTAGTCTTAGATGCTGCTTCTATAATTCTTTTTGTTCACCTTTGTTCAGAATTTAGATTTCTTGTTTTCTTAGCCTATTCTTGATTAATAAAATTAATGATGTGGATTATTTTACTCTGCTCAGAGTATTTCTTGGGGTTTGGGTTGTCTTTTAGCTACTCAAGCCAGTTTCTATACTGGTTCTGGAAATTTCTAAAAAGTTACCAATTCACTTGATGGCAGTGAATGTGAACACCCTGAGGTCCAGAGAAGACCTAATTAATGCCTTTATGTATTTTTGTCATATTTTAAATTATTCATATGGCCACATTTTATGATCTATTACTATAGATCATATATATTTATACACACACATACATACACATTGTATTAATCAGTTCTCATGCTGCTATGAAGAAATACCTGAGACTGGGTAATTTATCAAGAAAAGAGGTTTAATTGACTCACAGTTCCACATGGCTAGAGAGGTCTCAGGAAACTTATAATCATGGCAGAAGTCACTACTTCACAGGGTGGCAGAAGAGAGAATGAGTGCAAGCAGGGAAAATTCCAGACGTTTATAAAACCATCAGATCTCATGAGAACTCATAACTATCACCAGAACAGCATGGGGGAGACTGTCTCCATGATCCAATCACTTCACACCAGGTCACTTCCATGACACGTGGGGATTAAGGTGACTACAATTCAAGATGAGATTTTGGTGGGGACACAGAGCCAAACTACATTATTCTGTACCTGGCCCCTCCCAAATCTCATGTCCTCACATTTCAAAACACAATAATGCCTTTCCAGCAGTTCCCCAAATTCTTAGCTCATTCAAGCATTAACCCAAAAGCTCAACTATTAAGTCTCATCTGAGACAAGACAAGTCCCTTCTGCCTATGAGTCTGTAAAATCAAAAGCAAGTTAGTTACTTTCTAGATACAATGGGGGTACAGGCATTGGATAAATACAGACATTTCCTATGGGAGAGATTGGCTAAAACAAAGGGGTTACAGGCCCCATGCAAGTCTGAATTCCAATAGGGCAGTCATTAAACCTTAAGGTTCCAAAATGATCTCCTCTGACTCCATGTCTTACATCCAGGTTATGCTGATGCAAGAGGTAGACTCCCATGGCCTTGGGCAGCATTGCCCCTCTGACTTCGCAGGGTGCAGCCCCTCTCCCAGCTATGTTCATGGCTGGCATTGAGTGTCTGTGGCTTTTCCAGGCATGCAGTGCAAGCTGTCAATGAGTCTACCATTCTGGGGTTTGAAGGACAGCGGCCCTCTTCTCACAGTTCCACTAGGCAGTGCCTCAGTTGGAAATCCATATGTGGGCTCCAACCCCACACTTCCCTTCTGCACTGCCCTGGCAGAGGTTCCTCATGAGGGCTCCACCCCTGCTGCAGACTTCTGTCTGGATACCCAGGTGTTTCCATACATCCTTTAAAATTTAGGCGGAGGTTCCCAAACCTCAATTCTTGTCTTTTGCACACCTGCAGGCCCAACACTACATGGAGGTTGTCAAGGCTTGGGGCTTGTACCCTCTGAAGCAATGACCTGAGCTGTACCTTGGCCACTTTTAGCCAAGGCTGGAGTGGCTGGGATGCAGGGCACCAAGTTCTGAGGCTGAACACAGCATGGGGGCCTGGACCCAGCTCAGGAAACCATTTCTCCCTCCTAGGTCTCCAGGCCTGTAACAGAAGAGGCTGCCATAAAGGTCTCTGACATTCCCTGGAGACATTGTCTTGGTGATTACAATTTGGCTTCTCATTACTTATGCAAATTTCTGCAGCTGGCTTGAGTTTCTCCTCAGAAAATGGGTTTTTCTTTTCCACTGCATTATTAAGCTGCAAATTTTCCAAACTCTTATGCTCTGTCACCTTTTGAATGCTTTGCAGCTTAGAAATTTCTTCTGCCAGGCTGAGCGCGGTGGCTCATGCCTGTAATCCCAGAACTTTGGGAGGCCAAAGCAGGTGGATCACGAGGTCAGGAGATTGAGACCATCCTGGCTAATATGGTGAAACCCCGTCTCTACTAAATATACAAAAAATTAGCTGGCAGTAGTGGTGGGTGCCTGTATTCCCAGCTACTCGGGAGGCTGAGGCAGGAGAATGGCATGAACCCAGGGGGTGGAGCTTGCAGTGAGCTGAGATCATGCCACTGCACTCCAGCTTGGGTGACAGAGTAAGACTCTGTCTCAAAAAAAAACAAAAAACAAAAAATAAAACGAAATTTCTTCTGCCAAATACCCTAAATCATCTCTCTCAAGTTCAAAGTTTCACAAATCTCCAGGGCAGGGGCAAAAAGCCACATGTCTCTTTGCTAAAGCATAGCAAGAGTGGCCTTTACTCCAATTCCCAACAAATTTTTCATCTCCTTCTGAGACCACCTCAGCCTGGACTTCATTGTACATATCACTCTCAGCATTTTGGTCAAAGTCATTCAATAAGTCTCTAGGAAGTTTCAAACATTCCCACATCTTCCTGTCTTCTGAGCCCTCCAAGTCTCTAGGAAGTTCCAAACTTTCCCACATTTTCCTGCCTTCTTCTGAGCCCTCCAAACTATTCGAACCTCTGCCTGTTACCCAGCTCCAAAGTTACTTCCACATTTTTGGGTATGCTTAAAGCAGTACACCACTTCTCCATACTAATTTATTGTATTAATCCATTCTCACACTGCTATGAAGAAATACCTGAGACTGAGTAATTTATAAAGAAAGGAAGTTTAATTGACTCACGTTTCCATATGACTGGGGAGACCTCAGGAAACTTACAATCATGGCAGAAGGTACCTCTTAACAGGGTGGCAGGAGAGAATAAGTGCAAACAGGGGAAGTTACAGATGTTTATAAAACCACTAGATCTCATGACAACTCACTCTCTATCACCAGAACAGCAGAGGGGAACTGCCCCCATGATCCAATCACTTCCCATCGGGTCCCTCTCACAACACATGGGGATTATGGGAAACACAATTCAAGATGAGATTTGGGTGGGGATACAGCCAAACCATATCACATATACTGACAGGAATGGCAATTTAAAAAATTATTCAAGATTGTCTTTCTAGAGATTAGTCTTCTAGAAAAGTGAGAGGCTAACAGAGTATTTATAAATATTTATAAATGAATTACATATACTATATATAACATTGTCCCAGGTCTATCAACTTATAATGGACTTTTCAATTGCTGAAGTGAAGAAAATGTAACTTTAGCTTGTTACAACAGTGATTATGATTAATGACCTTTTCAGAAGTCATAAGGAGCCTCTCCTTCCTCTATACTCCACCACTGCCAAAAACACAAATTGTTATTTATATTTCATTACCCCATCACATAGGGTATTTAGCCTTAGTATACAAGATTAAGGAATTATTACAGTAAGAACAGTTGCCTCTATAGTATTGCCCAGAAACCTCACTGAATCAGAAGTTGGACTTTAAGGCTACCAGCATGGGGTCAGCTGGGATCCATGGTAAGAGCCTCCAAAATGACTCCTTCAATAGAATAGCAGAATGGCAGATAAAGTTAGAATTGCCAAACCTGTTTAAAAATGAAGATTATTTGATGGTCTCCTGGGCTATCCTAATCAACTTGAAGCCGAAAGTGGCATTGGAGGATGATCACTGAGAGGTTAAATACTTAGGCATATGTACATTTTCTTGCAATAATACCTCCTTTAATACATTCTAGACAGCATCTTGGTAATGAGAACCATCCAATGGACCATCCAGTCAATTTCTGGTAGGGATCTAAACCAATGTAAAAATGATATATCTAAAAGGCAAATTGGAAATATGGGTAAAGAATCTATCATACATATACATTGTTAAAGTTCTTTTCAACCTCTAAAAAGGTCCCTCTCTTTCCAACCCATTCAAACATTTAAGATATATATTTTTTAATACTAACAACATATCTTCTCCTTGGTAAGGAAATCAATGTCAAAATTCCTATCTCTACACTGTCTCTATCACCTCTTTCTTATTGCTGCCTTACTGAAGACAGCTGGGAAAAAATATAAAATAAAGAACAAGGCCAAATAGTAATGCTTATTTTTACCTAATTTTCTACCCTATTACACATTCAGACATTTTCCCTGTAGTTGCACCCAGCTTTTTGCAGATGCCTCAGCTATTAGAAGTATTCCTTTCATTTATGATCAAAATATAAAATCCTTAATGTAAAATATTAAGATATAGCATTATGAAAATATGCATATAGGAAATACTTTAAATCCTATGCATTTACTTCTTTGAGTTGAATGGTGTCATGGCTAAGACAACTTGAATGAGATTTGACCTGAGTTTTCTCTGAGGTTTTCCTGCAGCTCTGCCTCAGTGAACAGATTGCAGATCACTCTGTAATAGACACCTTCGTCCAAAACTCCCTGCCTGTGTTCGGCCTGCCAGAATTGCTAATAAGTTTAAATATAGTAGGTAACCACTTTTCTGTCTATTTATGTCACTTTCATTTCATCATAATTTAGTATACACATTTTAAAAATGTTATATAGTCCTTATATTTTAATTTGAGGTACTATTGCTTTCGTTCTCATATTTTTTTTATCACTGCACACTAATGTTGTTAAACGTCTTCATGTTCCTTAAGCATCCATTTTTCAAAACTTTAAATGAATTTTAAAGTGCCAGGGCAGACAAAATGAACTGAGACACTTTTACTAAGTTACATCCCTCAATCTGATTTTCAGGAAAAAAGAAAAAAAAACCCAAGACACAAGACTAATAAAGATATATCTCTATGTGCTGAATCTTATTTTCTACATGTTATCTTGGCTAGATGAACTGCCAAAAACTAAATCTGTTTTTATATAAATTGTCTACCTGAGTCTTCAATAATGTTACCCAAAGATGTAGCAACCTAATAAAATAGAATAAATATTTCATTAAAATTGTGTAGACCAGAATTCATTCACCACAAGTAGTGTTTATGTGATTATTACCTCCTCTCAAAAAGAAGCATTACAGAGATATGGTAAGAACTCATAGCTTCTGTCCTACAGGAATTGCCAGCCTACTGAGGGAGTGGGTAGCACTCAGACAATTGTTCAGGCCCCAAGAATCCAGAGCACTAAGTGTCATGGTAGCTGCAGTGCAGCAGGAATAGAGCACAGGGAGAGGGAACGAATCCAGTGTGAACAGCAAAGTTTTCCTAGAAACAGTTATTTCTAAGTTTACAGCAGAGCACAATGATATTAAATTAGTGACATGTAAAGTTGGTTATATATTTCCCTATCAGGAGAATAACATATACAAAAGTCAGGAGGCAAGAAAATGAATTCTGGGAACTGAAGAAGAGCTGATAAAAAAGGATTGGGCCCATTTAAGATTTTTTAGGTGGAAGAAATGAGACATAGTGATTAATTGTATATGAGGGGTGTGGTAAAGGAAAACATTTAAAATGGTATTAGGATTTCTAGCTTTAGACAAGGTAAGTGTTGACTGATTCAGAGATTTATTTCAAAGGAGAAGGAGTTTAAGGACATAAAATATAAAAAGGAAGATATTTTGGGGGTGAGTGGGATTGGATTTGAGGAGTCTGGGGACACCTGAGTAGAGGTGTCCAGTGGTCAGTAGACACGTGGGTTTAAAGCTTAGTGACAGAGTTGGGATGAAGCTGGAAATTCAAATCCAGAGTGGAAGTATAGTTATAGTATTAAAAGCCATGGCAGTGAAAAGAATATCTTCAGATATCTAAAAGTCACAAATTAATGCTAATTGTCACCATACCTAAGAATTTGAGAAAAAGAAAGATAAGGTAGAGTTTAAAAATTAAGAGAATAGGCCGGGTGCAGTGGCTCATGCCTGTAATCCTAATACTTTGGGAGGCCGAGGCAGGCAGATCACTTGAGGTCAGGAGTTCAAGACTAGCCTGGCCAACATGGTGAAACCCCGTCTCTGCTAAAAATACAAAAATTAGCCGGGCATGGTGGCTGGTGCCTGTAATCCCAACTACTCTGGAGGCTGAGGCAGGAGAAATGCTGGAACCTGGGAGGCAGAGGTTGCAGTGAGCCAAGATCACACCACTGCACTCCAGGCTGGGCAACAGAGCAAGACTCCGTCTCAAAAAAGAAAAAAAAAAGATTAAGAGAATAGCATCAGAAAGGAAATATGCAAGAGGCATTCTGAAAGATAGTTAGAAGAATAGGGAAAAAAATATGAAAACCCAGTCCTGGTTATCCTTCTAATTAGCTATGTAACTCTAAGCGAGTCTCTTAACTGCTTGATCTCAGTTGTTTCTTTGAAATAACAGAGATGTCTACATGTTAAATGTTGTTAATTATACAGCACTTTTTGAAAGTAGTGCATGTTAATTCTGTTCCCAATAAATTCATATTTTGAAGTCCTAACCCCTAGTACCTCAGAATGTAATTGTATTTGGGTCTTTAAATAAGTTATTAATTTAAAATGAGGGCTTTAGTGTGATCTTTATCCCAATATGGCTGGTGTCCTTTAAGAAGAGGAAATTTGGACACACAGAAAGAGAGACCACACACGTGCATATACAGAGAAATGACTGTGTGAAAACAGAGGGATAAGACAACCATCTACAAGGTAAGGAGAGGGGCCGCAAAATAAAACCAACCCTACTGACAACTCGATGTTGAAGTTTGAGAAAATAGATTTCTGTTGTTTGAACCACCCAGTCTGTAGTACTCATTGTGGCATACTTAGCAAACTAATACAGATTTTGGTACCAAGTGTGGGGTGCTTCTGTAACAAATACCTAAAAATGTGGAAGTGGCTTTGGAACTGGGTAATGGGTAGAGGCTGGAAGAGTTTTCGAGGTACATGTTAGAAAAAAATCTAAGTTGCCTTGAAGTGATCTGTTCAGGGTCTAGACTTTTTTTTTTTCTTTTTACAAATAATCAGAGAGTGTCTCTCTAGCCTCTAGAGGCTAGAGAACTCTAGAAACTCTAGAGTTTTCATTCCTTGAAAATGAGTTTATTTCTCCTTAGATGATGCAACATAATTTTGTTTTTAGACTGTGTCCAGGCAATCCAACTCCATTTTAAAGTGGATAATGCTGCAAGGTTAAGTCTAGTAGAAAGTATTTTGGCTTTTTTTTTCTACTAGAAGTATAAATGACAACATTGAAATTTTAAAATAAAAGCAAAAAAAAACTATTAATAAAACTGTAGATTTAAGATGGCAGAATATTTTAGATGTTGAAATATTTAACTATCATGTAGATATAGCTACAGAAAAAATTAACAGTGAACTGTTTATTCCTGCCAACAAGAAGAAAACTTTTCAGAAGTTACTATTTTTCTGTGTAAAAACTGTGGCAATAGAATCCACTGTAAAATTTATCTTATCAAATTTTTGACAAATCCAAGATTTGTTCTATGATTATTAATTTAACTAAACATATGTAATGAGAAACAAATATGTGAGTTGACATTACCACAATGATAGAGGAAAACAGTTGTGGATGAATGAATGTTAAAATTACATGAATAAACCTTTAGGGCACACACAGATTTGATAAAAGGAGAGTAAGATCCAGCAATGAGATTAGGAACATGTGTTTAGAGAGATAGAAACAGACTGTACTAGATGTTAAGGGAAGAGTTTTATTCAGAAGGATATGTGAAAAATGTTCCAGAGAGAGCAATGAGCTTGACTGACAGAAGTTTACCCTAGTAAGCCTTACACATCAACTTGATCTATCCCTTTTCAATCTCCTCTTTCTCAATGCAAAAAAAGGAAATTCTTCGAAAAATAGTTATGGAAAAATAATGTCATTTCACTTAATTTGAGATCATTTTCATTTATATATTTCCTAGATTCTATATTTCATCTATTTCTTTATCCTATAAAGTCTGGTGAATAACAGCATTAACCTCCCTCCACTGAAAGAAGAATTTTCAAGGCCAATGCTCCCCTTTGATGATTTCCTCTTATAACTTCCAGTAGCATTCCGTTTCTTTTCTGGACTTCTACTGTCTTCCTGTCTTCAGTCTTTAAATCCCCTTAAATCTTTCCCATCTTAAAAAAAAGAAAGGAATGAAAAAAAATTTTTAAACCCAACCTTTTTTGACCTTGCATCTTATTCTAAATACTGCAGAATATAAAGTTTAGATTTTACATGGAAATCCAGTAGTGTAATGAAGAGGATTGAAGCTGAAGTCATATTGCTTTGGTTTTTACTTCCAGTTTCAGCACTTGGACAAGTTACTTAATATTTCAATGCCTGAGTTTTCTCACTGTAACAATTTCACAGATATTCCCATCTCTTATGGTTGTTATAGGTATTAAATGCATAAATATACATGAAATGCTTAGAACAACCCCTAGTAATAACTCAATTTGTGTTAGCTATTATTATTCTTATCATCATTACCTTTCTGTGTTGTTTTTGCCATGCTAAGGAGTCTGAATGTAGTATCATCTCTCCACCCCACTTTCTGAAGACAATGAAGGTTAAACCCTTGCAGATCACACAAAAGGGGGAAAGTCTTCAATTGATTTGCTGGGTTTAATGGATTATTAGATTCATATGTAAAAATACTTGTAGATTAAAGTTGGAAAGGTATGACATAGAAATAAGAATAACATTGGAAAGAAGATAAAGGTAGGAAAAAACTTGTATTTAATCTAGGGTGAGCAATCATCTCAGTTTGTTCATGTGTGTCCTTGTTTTAACACTGAAAATCCCACATTCCAGGAAATTTCTCAGTGTTGATCAAATTAAGATTTGACCTTAATTACCTTAATTTCAGCCAATTTGTAAAGATTGCCAGAAGTCAAAAACAGTAGTGTTTGCCCTGGGTGAGTTCATGGTGTTTCTTCTGACTAGGTGTGCTCCTTACTCCTGATGACCAATTTTTCGAAATCAAGGTTCAAAGCCTCAAGATTTAGCCAATATTATTTTCCTCTTAAATTACTTTCTCTGATTTATCTAGGCAGAATGATGTGATTCCTCCTGTGTATGCTTCTACAGTACCAAATTTGTATCTTTTGCATGGAATGCACACATGCGCGCACACACACACACACACACACACACACACACCACCTTGAATTAGATATTTGTGCAATGTCTGATCTCCATAATTAGCTTGTAAGGAACGTTTAAACAGAAACCATGTGCCATGCTGTTATCTCACCTGCAGCATCCCATATTGTGCCTGTTGCTTAAAGGATGCATTTCTATTTGTGTGACAAATGAACAAATGGACATAAATTTAGGTATGCCAAAAATCCCTGCAATGGAGGATGGACTTTTTAAGAAGAAACAAAAGCTGTCATATTTTTGGAAGCCACACCATCTTCTCAATTCACTAAAGGATTCATCGTTTGATTTCAGCCATTATCTTCGAATAGTATACACTAAAATAAATCCAAGTGACACCGGAGAGAAATTCCAGGATGCTGTTTATAAGACCACAAATGTAATGAATATTTTTTGTACAAGTGGCAATTTTCTCTATCTCTGTCATGAGAATGAAGATGAATTTGTTTCTCTGTTCTGGCAGATTTATATGTAAAGAATACAAATATAGGAAGTAATATGTCATTTTTAATTAAATGGGTTAATAAGTCAGGAGTGAACAAAATAAACCAGGAAACTGGGACCTGTGAATTTTCAGAATGCTTGGCACTTTGTCCACAGGAAGATTCATTTTAAATAAATGGTACACCCTCAAAATGAACTTGTATCATTGATAAATATTTGAGTCCGTATAATGTTATGTCAATTGGCCATACATTAAAACAATTACCCTAAATTAATACTGATCACTGCCATTTAATATTCACTAGTTATTTATCAAACCTCTTTGTCCTTTCTCCCAGAGGAAAAAATAATGAGAGATAAGCTTTGCTACTCAGTCCTCCTAGTAGGATTAGAATATGCCAACAGCCAATTTTTCAGGCAAGTTTTAAAATGTCAGCAGTATTAAGAACTTTTCCTAAAACCTTACATGGTAATATAATATTTTAAAGCCTGTCCTAATCCCTGGCTAGAAATTAATTCTAAAAATATATGTTATTTTCTTGTATTTAGGGCAAAATAGTTATATGTGAATCATGCTTTTTACCCATTAAGACATTTCTACAAGATGGTAAGCCATGTTTAGTGAAATTCGTTGAACTTTATCAGTCCACTGAAATCTGAAAATTTGGAAGACTCTATTCATCATTGTCACCTGAGCTATTAATGTAGGTTGATAGTATCAAAGCTTTATTTCTTAGTTGAATGAAAAATACTTTTGCTTCTGAATGTAATAGCTTCACAAATAATTAGTAACACAGAAAAGAACTTAAGTTACTCATAAATATGATGAGCATATAACCTATCATCTAAACCTTACTTATAAATAACCTATTCAAGAGAATTTAATACATAAAATGCATTTTAATAGAAGATAAATATTTTGAAGTAGAAGGTTTTGTAAAATATTTTGTACTTTTCCCCTGCATCGTGAGTACACCTACAAGTGAGAAGGTAGTTTATTTCAGATTTATGTTGCTGCAAGTGAATGAAAAAAGTGGCAAACTCTTTCTCATCCCCAAAAGATAGTTATTTTGACTTAGGAAGTTTGGAAGCAAAACAAAATATTTGCACTACTTCCAGAAGAGAACTTCTACGAGACATTTGTTTTAGAAAATACATCCAGGTTGTGAGAAGACAAGAGGAAAGGCCATTCACATTGATTGATTTGAAAGAAGTATGGAGGATCAGGGGTGAGCACTGATGAAACTGTCTACCTGTAGCAGCAGTACATGCACCATGAAGTCTTAGATGACAGGCCCTCTGAATTGATGGCAGGAGAATTGGGCATTGGGTGGACAAATAGAGGGGAGAAAGCAGACCAGAATACTAAAAGCATTGAGAGCCACAGCAAAGCATTCCTGTATAAGAACAAAAGAATAGGCATAGGAACAAAAGAAACACTTCAGAAAAGCCATGTTGGCTTGGGCAAGCAGTGTTCAATATGAACTCAAGACCAAATATTCCAGCTTACCTAAAACTCAGTAGAAGAGAAGACTCCGTAAAATATGATCTTAACTGAATTTACTAGTAGTCAAATGAGCGTGGCATGGACTAAATGTTGTGATTTAGAGATAATATAAGGAGTTTAAGAAATGCTATACACCCCTCACATAAATGAGAGGAGATGTTTGTAAAGCATCTGGTTTGCTTTGATCATCCACATTTATTAGATTGATGTGCGCATACCTTATTCAGTTTGAAATTTTCTACTTTAGTGGTAAAATCAATTTCAGTATCTAAAAGTCACAAATTAATGCTAATTGTCACCATACCTGAGTGATCAAATCCTAAACTATCATTTTTCCCTGTCCTCAGAGAACAATCTACTGACCTTGGTTTAAATCATTTGGCCTTGGAAGACATTATGATACCCTAGGATTTGGAATCTTGATAGCACAACTAGCATACTACAAGCAAAATCACAGCTGTTGTATTTGCTTCTGATGCCAGGGGTTACTTATCTTCAAGTATTGGAGAGCAAATGAAACAGATGGTCCAATATATCTCCAACTGAAACTTTTATAAGCAACTGCTAAATTTTGCTTATGGACATCTGAAACAAGAGAGCTGAGCTGAAGTTGAAAAACAGTTTTATTTCATTCTCAGCATTTAAACAGAAACCAAACTGTTTTACATGAAAACCTTTGAAAGATTTAGACTATGCTTATGTAACCCTCTGACAACTACCAGGTACAATTGTCCTTGTTTAAGAATATTATGACATATTACCATAACCAAATCAGTGAAAATTAAAACCATGCCCATTTCCTGTAGCTAAAATAGACCCTGAAATGTCATACTTCACCACTGTTATTGCTGACCTTTTTATAGATGATATGGTTTGGCTTTGTGTCTCCACCAAAATCTCATCTTGTAGCTCCCATAATTCCTACTTGTTGTGGGAGGGACCTGGTTGGAGATGATGGAATCATGACGTGGGTCTTTCCCGTGCTGTTCTCGTGATAGTGAATGGGTCTCACGAGATCTGACGGTTTTAAAAATAGGAGTTCCCCTACACAGTCTCTCTTGGCCAGCCTCCCTTCCACTCACGTGGAACTGTGAGTTCTCTGTTAAACCTTTTTCCTTTGTTAATGGCCCAGTCTCAGCTATGTCTTTATCAGCAGCATGAAAACAGACTAATACAATATAGTTTTGTGACTACAAGTATGCAGTCTATTTGAGGTCTGAGTGTCTTTCAGGAGCAGCTTCTGCCTGGAGTCTACAGTACACCTCAGTAACATTGTTGTGTCATACAGTCCTCAAATACTTAAAACACTGGATTCTTTGAAAAGAATATTATGAAAACAACACCCTAAAGTGTTACCAAAAGAGGAGGAGGTCTTTCAGTTAGAATCATCATTTGTTTACCAATTAATTGCAACAGATATTTTTTGAGTCCCCTGCGGTATGTCAGTCACTGGAATACAAACTTCTTTGTGTGTGTTTATGTGTGTGTGCATGTGTTGTGTGTGATTTTTGTAACTTTTAATGGTGGTTATGTTTTGTTCCAATATGTGCCAATACTTAGTCTATCAGTTCTTAACAGTTTATATTAAAATACAGTTATTATTATACAAATAAAGTACTAAATTGGACTAAGTAGGAATCTTGACAACATAAAAGATAAAATAAAACATATTATGGACATATTAATATCTCTATACTTAGTTTTTTCATGATGATTCTGGTAGATATCTGTTGTTTCTGTCTGCTTCTTTTTGTTTATCATTCTACCTTAAGTACCTGTATAGCATTTCATCTTAAAATGAAGTAAAGCAAAAAGAATATATAACAGATGTATTTCCTGGCTTGTTTTGAATCTTTGGAGTCTTAATGCTAAGTACATAAATCTTATTTTTCTAAGTTTTAGCAACAGATATTAATTTTTGTGTAAATTTTTGGTTGTAGCAGGAAAAAATAGATTTTGAAAGTCTGATCAGCATAACAAAGGGTAACCCTTCTTTGAAATTATTTCTCCACAATATGTGCTATGACACATTAATAAAATAGTTGAAACTGAAGTCAGAAACCAAAATAATAGAGTGGATTTTGTTACTTGTCTCAGAAAAATAACCTAAAGAAGTGAGTTGTTTTGGCTCAAACAAAATAGAATACAATGACTGTCATCCAGAGACTTTAAATATTATTATTTTGATAGGAATTAAGGGTGTTTATTTGAATAAATTGAGCTAGTTTCTTTCTTGAGTTTCTCCTCTCTCACCTCTTGATATTGCAGACATTTAAAAAATGCAATGGAGCAATCTGTAAACGAATGTAACAATAAACAAATGCCAGAATATTAATGGGCTATCAAACAACAGAAGCAGTGATTCTGGAATAAAAGCATTTTTTTTGTCTAAGATGAAAAGTTACTACAGGGAACTCTCTTGATCTATTGTTTTATACTGTTAAAGAAAGTACATTAATGAAATGTGTCAGGGTAAGATGGCAGTCTCAGCACATCAAATGATGCAGGCAAGAATATAGCAAAGTAATATCTATCAGCAGGTCAATAACTTAGAAAAGCTTGAAATGATTGAGAAATGTGCATGGAAGAAGGTAGTATTCTATAGCTATTCAAGGCAATGTATCAAAGAAGTGTAAAAATATACATTAGAATGGGTCAGTTATTCTTAGATCAGAAGGAATGGGATAAAGAAATGATCTGAGAACAGAATATAGGAATTATGTGGCTTGGAAGTAGAGAGAGAAAAGACATGAACATTTATCAATGACAAAATGATCACAATACCTTTGAGGTACTGGATTTGAGGGAAAAGATTCTTCCAAATAAGTGATCACTCTGATTAGGACTGAACAAAATGACTGATTTCACTGCTCAGTCCTCAGACTGCCAACCTTTCTACACCCCTGCTCTGAGCGTGTGTGTGTGTGTGTGTGTGTGTGTGTGTGTAGTATCATAGAAGTCTGTCCCCTTTAAGTTGCTGGTTGGATCAAGTGTGGGTGTATAATAGAGGCAAAAGCAATTTATAGCCAGGCCAGTAGCCTTTAGATATTCTGGTGTCACAGCCCTGTCAAACAGCAACAGTAGGAACAAAATGAAAAAAAAAATGCAGAAAACAAAAGACATTTGACAGAAGGGTATAAAGATGGACTCAATTTGGTAATGGGACATAAGATTAATAGGAAGAAGACATATAGAAAGAAGCCAAATGGTAGAGGCTATGACTAAGCAAAAGGCATAGGAAAGGAAAAGTCACAAGGTAGAGAGGGAATTATAGAGAAATTCTAATATTTGGGAGTGCAGGAATAGTACAATCGAGACAGCCAGGGAGGCTGCCTTTATTGAGGTATCCACTTACTGGACTTCCTGTAAAGTCAATAATGCATCCTTCAGGCTACTTGAACACTATGTGTCTTCTCTTTGAGCCCTAACACCATTGTTTCTAATTCCCTTACTTTCTCTTGCATCTTTTAAAATAATCTGTATCATCCACAGTAACCTTTGCCACCTGACAAAGCCTAACAAATGTGGAAAATGTGGTCACGTTCTGTAATAGAGGAAACTTTATGAAAGAAAATGAGTCTGTTTATGATAAAGAAAGGGATAAGAAAAGAAATAATTTATCTTAAATAACCAATTGTTACATAAGGATAATGATAGTAGACTTGAAATCATTAAGGGCGATTTTTATTTTGCTGGTCGGTAGTACTAGTGATTATAATAATGATAATAAAAATAAAGATTTTTATATATTGGTGACTTACAATCTTCTGAAAATTGTGCTGCCTTCTAATTGAGCTTGTCTTTCATTTTCAAGCACTCAAAATTTTAGGAGGTAAAAGTTCATTATAATTTCCATATGAGTTATAGGTTGGTAACTTCTCAAATTCAGAGAGGAAGTGGCTTTTGTGAGAATTGAACTTGCCTATATCATACAATACATGTTGCTTTATACCTTATTTGATCTACATGTGAACATGCTTCTCTAATTAGTGGTAATCCTGACAGATTAAATACAAAGACTAGATTCAGATTGTTACAAACCTGAGGGTATGGTACATTCTCAACGACTTTGCATTGATGATCCCTGCATTAATATGTGCTTTTAAAATGATAGGAATGTTTAGAAAAAATAAAAAAGTTTTTGCAAAGGTCATTTTTTCCATTAAATGTGTTATAATTGACATGTTCATTTTATAGTTATTCAGTTCTTAGGGTTTAAAAACTAATAAAGGTGACATGATATATATATAAACTCTAATCATCTACATCAAATTAAATGTTCCATGAGTTTTCTAATTATTTTTGTAGATTTGAGCATATAAGGCACACAAATTATTGGGTAAATTAATCCATAGCCCATATGTTTGTTTATCAAGATGTAAGGAGTAACAAGCAATTATAAGGAATTAAGGATGCTACGTAAAATGAAAAATTCATAAGTGTTATTATGATATTATTATGGATTCCAGATTTTTAAGGTCATTTTTTTTTGGAGACATAGGCTTGCCCTGTTGCCCAGGATGGAGGGCAGCAGTGCAGTCTTGGTTCATTGAAGACTTGAACTCCCAGGCTTAAGCAATCCTCCCACCTCAGCCTCCTGAGTAGCTTGGACTGCCAGTGTACATCACCGCGCCTGGCTAATTTTTAAATTTTTATAGAGAGTATGTTGCCTAGACTTGTCTTCAACTCCTGGGCTCAAGCTATCCTGCTGTCTCAGCCTCCCAAAGTGCAGGGATTACAGGCATGAGCTACCATGTCTAGCCTATATTTAAGATCTTTTAAAACTCTTGCTGAGGGAGGGATATAAGAGCTCAAATACAAATTAATGACAGCCTTCTGTTTCTGGTAGTACAGTGGACTAAGCACACTAAACAAACCTCATAATAAAGATAAAACTGAAAGATTGGACATAAATAAAAAGGAATATATAGTTTTATTTTTATATTTATTTCATATTATATATACATATATATGTGTGTGTGTATATATATATATATGATACATGATTGAAATGGCAGGAAGATAAACAGTTCACAGAGGTCAAACAAAAATTACGCATGTAGGTCAGGCATGGTGGCTCATGCTTGTAATCCCAGCACTTTGGGAGGTCGAGGGGGGCAGATCCCTTGAGGTCAGGAGTTTGAAACCAGCCTTGCCAACATGCTGAAACTCCATCTCTACTAAAAATACAAAAATTAGCTTGCAGTGGTGGCGCATGCCCACAGTGGTGGCACATGCCCACAGTCCCAGCTACTTGGGAGGCTGAGGTGGGAGAATCACTTGAACCTGGGAGGCGGAGGTGGCAGCAAGATGGTGCCATTTGAGACGGAGCCACTGCACACCAGGCTGGGTGACAGAGTGAGACTCTGTCCAAAAAAATAAAGAATGAAAGAAAAGAAAAAAAGAAAGAAAGAAATAGAAACCCGGGGGAAGTAAGCAAGTCAATTTAATATTCATACCAATAATAATATATTATACAATTTTTTAAAAGATAGCTTTGAACATATTAACAAAAAGTGTTAATCTTAAGAAGAAACCGAGCAAAAGGTATACAATCTGTCAAAAATTTTGATAAAAATATATTTAGGAAGTTCTAAATAAATGGAAAATATTTGTTAGTAGTGAAAAAATACAAATTATGTGAATTCTTCTTAAATTAATATATAGATTCAATGCAATCATCAAAAATTTACAGGGTTTCTCATTTATTCTAAGAAGTAGTTTCTAAAATATATATAAAATAGCAAAATTTTAAGAGTAGCCAACACTCTTGAAAAGGAAGAACAGAAAAGATTTTCTATTAGACAAATGGACATATTTAAATAGGAAAAAAATGTATAGGAATGTCCATATCAGCATTATTTTTAATAGCAAAGAATATTAATTGATATCTACTTATCCATATCCCAGTTCCCAGTGGGGCATATTGACTAATGCCTACATCTGAAGATGTTCAGCTCTTGTCATGCTCTAATGGATTCCTGCTAATCAAGTATCAGTTTTATTGTGTTGGAAAATAAGTCTTCTAAATTAGTATATTAACCTTTTGTGTATGTGTGTGTTCATTCTTTTATTTACATTGTTTTATGCTTTTCTTGATGTAATCACCTCTGTGGATGAAGCTACTTATTTCTCTTATGTACCTACAGCAGATTTCTGTCGTATGAAATCTTTACTATTTTGTCACCAAGTATTTGGGGTTGTTTAGAAAGGAGATGTTGTGTATTGTGTGTAGCCCTTGCTGTGTTACAAAAAGCTAACTGTGCTGCCTCAAGTTCCTCTTTATTTATGGATTAAATGTGAGACAGAGGTTACCAGTGTTATGGAATCTTACATAGATACAATCCAGATTTTCTGGGACCAACACACTGAATGAGAGCATAAAGTAAAGGTGTGGCAAGATGCAAACCTGAGTATAATTTTTAGAAACCTGTGGTTAGTATTAGAGTGTATTTTCACTTCGGCATCATCGTGAGGACTTTGATACCTTGAACAACAGAGCCAGGTAACTCTGGAGTGGACACATGAGCAAACATGGAAAATAAACCTAGGAAGTTATCAGTCCAGTGGAGTATATAGAAAGCTTGTTTAGATAAACATACCTCTCAACTGATGATAAATAATCTTTGGAGAAAGAAACAGGAAATCAGAAAAACTACATGGTTTTTTGATGGCCTCTATAATAAAAATGTAAAGTTTTAAGCAATGGAGCAAACAACTTACAAGGTGTTTAAATGGCAGGTTTAAATGTCATATTTGAACTTTACTCTTCTTAGCCTGAGTGCTTGTACAGACAATGGAAACAAAAATATTGCTTCTTATCTCTTGGTAGCTATGGGAAAATAACTTTAAAATTCAGAAATAGTGTCACACAACTGTATTGGGAAATTTCAGGAAGAACAGTATTTACAAATTTGGCCCAGAGTAGAAAAAAGTCAAAATTAACTGATCATACTGTCAAAAATATGTATATTAAGGAAAAAAATTTGACTGAGTTAAGTGATGTCACCCTGTAGACAGTTGTTAACTATGGATAGTAAGTAATGCTAACGCAGTAGAGACATTTTTACATTTGTGGAGAGAAGTATAACTGCCCAATTATCTCAATTACATCAGGATGTTTACTGTGCATAGTTCTGTTTTTATGGACACAAGATCTACAGTTTATTCAAACTATTTGATAATTACTCCTGCTAAAGTATTATTTTATTCTCTTCCCAATATTTGAAAATATCTTATTAGAGCTAAATATATATGTTAATGAGGCTGTTAAAAATTCCAAGTAATTACAGATTTTATATTACCTACAGGAATTTCATGTATTACTTTACAATTTTTATTTATTTATTCTGAAGTTCACCTCAGTCCCACAAATGGGCTTTCTTCTTCAGGAACGAATTTAGTAGTTATGATAGTGAATGAATAATGGTAATTGTTTAAGCCAGGTGTTGTATAAAGATACTGGAAATTAATCCAACAAAGAGCTCTACTAAGAAATATATAAATGCCTCAAGCTTCAGTTTTAGACTGTGTCTATTTCATCCTGACTTCCTTTGACACTTCAGTAGTGTCTAAAATTTGTGCCTAATTCCCAGAGATGCACCTTTAATTATGATTAAAGAAAGCAAAATTTTCATTTCTCCTTTAAGACATATGTAATCTTTAAATTAGCTTAACAAAGTCCTCATTATGTAAGATTTTTGGACTTACAGTTTTGGTTTTAATCAACACTATTGATATTGTTGATAACAATTGTGTTTTCTATTTCTATCAATACTTTTTATATTTTATTTATTTATTTATTTATTTATTTATTTATTTATTTATTTTTTGAGACAGAGTTTCACTCTTGTTGCTCAGGCGGGAATGCAATGGCACAATCTGGGCTCACTGCAACCTCTGCCTCCCAGGTTCAAGCAATTCTCCTGCCACAGCCTCCCGAGTAGCTGGGATTGCAGGCATGCGCCACCACGCCCAGCTAATTTTGTATTTTTAGTAGAGACAGGGTTTCTCTATGTTGGTCAGGCTGGTCTCGAACTCCCAACCTCAGGTGATCCGCCTGCCTCAGCCTCTCAAAGTGCTGGGATTACAGTTGTAAGCCACTGCACCTGGCCAATACTTTTCATATTTTAAAAGATCAAAACAATTGAAAACTAATAGTTCCTTTAATCTATCATTTGTTAATTGCTACTTGTCTTATTTAGAAATGAGACTTTTATCAAATTATTTCAAGATTCTGATTCACAACAATTTTTTATCAGTTTATTGACATTTATATTATCATTATTATTTTATTTCAATAGCTTCAAGGGGACAAGTGGCTTTTTGTCACAAGGATGAATTTTATAGCAGTAAAGCCTGAAATTTTAGTATACCCATCACCCGAATAGTGTACATTGTACCCAATGTGTAGCATTTTATCCCTTACCCCATTCCCCCAAATCTCCCCGCTTCTGAGTCTCCAATGTCCATTAATGACTCTGTATGCCTTTGCATACACACAGCTTAACTCCTGCTTATAAGTTAGAACATTTGGTATTTGGTTTTCTATTCCCGAGTTACTTCACTTAAAATCATGGCCTCCAGTTCCATCACAATTTATAGCTAAAGAAATTATTTTATTCTTTTCTTATGGCTGCACAGTACTCCATGGTGTGTGTGTATATATATATATATATATATGTATGTATGTATGTATGTATGTATATATCACATCTTCTTTATCCACTCATTGCTTGAGGGGCACTTAGATTGTTATCTTTAGAGTTTTGAATTCTACTGCAATAAACGTATGCATGCAGGTGTCTTTTTGATATAATGACTTCTTTTCCTTTGGATACATAACTGGTAGTGGGATTGCTGGATTGAATGGTAGATCTACTTTTAGTTCTTTGAGAAATTACCATACTGTTTTCCATAGAGGTTGTACTAATTTACATTCCCACCAGCAGTATATAAGCATTCCCTTTCCACCACATCCACATCAACATCTATTGTTTTTATTGTTTTTTAAATAATGGTCATTCTGGCTGTAGTAAGTTGGTATCTCATTTTAATTTGCATTTTCCTGATGATTAGTGATGTTGAGCTTTTTTTCATGTTTGTTAGCCATTTGTATATCTCTTTTTGAGAAATGCATTCATGTCATTTGCTCACCTTTTAGTGAGTTTTTTTTCTTGCTGATTTATTTGAATTTCTTGTAGATTCTGGATATTAGTCCTTTGTAGGGTACATAGTTTGCAAATATTTCCCCCGATTCTGTGGGTTGTCTGTTTACTCTGATGATTATTTCTTTTTCTGCGCAGAAGCTTTTTAGTTTAATTAGGTCCCATGATTCATTTTTGTTCTCATTGAATTTGGTTTTGGGGTCTTAGTCATACATTCTTTGAATAGGACAATATTCAGAAGTTTTTCAGATTTTTTTCTAGAATTTTTATAATTTAGGGTCTTAGATTTAAGTCTTTAATACATCTGGTGTTGATTTTTGTATATGATGAGAGATAGAGATCCAGTTTCATTTTTCTACATGTGTTTATCCAGTTTTTCCAGCACCATTTATTGAATAGGGTGCCTTTCCCCCAGTTTATTTATTTTTTCTATGCTTCCTTCAAAGACAAGTTGGTTGTAAGTATCTGGCTTTATTTCTGGGTTCTCTATTCTGTTCCATTTGTCTATGTATCTACTTTTATACCAGAACTATGCTGCTTTGGTTACGATAGGCTTGTAGTATCATGCAAAGTCGGGTAATGTGGTGTCTCCAGATTTGTTCTTTTCGCTTAAGACTGCTTTGGCCATTCAGGCTCTTTTTTCATTCCACATGAATTTGAGATTTTTTTTCTAGTTCTGTGAAAAAAAGTGCTGATATTTTGATAGGAATTACATTGAATGTGTAGATTGCTTTGGGCAGTATGGTCATTTTCATGACATTGACTCTTCCAATCCATAAGAACAAGATGTATTTCCATTTGTTTGTGTCACTTATGATTTATTTCAATAGTGTTTTGTAGTTCTGCTTATAGCAATCTTTCACCTCTTTGGTTCAGTAATATTCCTAGTTTTCTTCTTCTTCTTCTTCTTCTTTTTTAAGTTATTGTAAAACGGATTGGGTTCCTGGCTTGATTCTCAGCTGTCAGTGCTACTGATTTATGTACATTGATTTTGTAACCTGAGACTTTACTGAATTCATTTATCAAATTCAGGAGTCTTTTGAAGGAATCTTTGGGTTTTGTAGCTATAAAATCTTACCATTAGTAACCAGAAATAGTTTGACTTTCTTTTTTCCAATTTGGATGCCCTTTATTTCTTTCTCTCGCCCAATTGCTCTGGCTGAGACTTCCAGTACAGTGGTGAATAGAAGAGGTGGAAGTGGGCATCCTGTGTTGTTCCAGTTCTTAGGGGTAACACTTTCAACTTTTCCTCATTCATTGCGATGTTGGCTGTGAATCTGTCATATGTTGCTTTCATTATTTTAGGTATATTCCTTCTATGACTAGTTTTTTGTGCGTTTTTCATAAAGCAATGGTAGAAATTACTGAATGTTTTTTCTGCATTTATTGAGATGATCACATGGTTTTTGTTTGTAATTCTGCTTATGTGATGAATCACATTTATTGACTTGCATATGTTGAACCATCCCCACATCCCTGGGATGACACCGACTTGATCTTGGTGAATTATCTTTGCAATATGCTGTTGGATTCAGTTTGCTAGTATTTTGTTGAGGATTTTTGTATCTATGTTCGTCAAGGATATTAGTGTGTAGTTTTCTTTTTTTGTTATGCCCTTTTCTGGCTTTAGTATCATGGTGATACTGGCTTCATACAAAATTAGGGAGGATTCTCTCCTTTCTCAGTCTTTTGTAATAGTTTTAGTAGAATTGGTACCAATTTTTCTTTGAATGTCTGGTTTAATTTGGCTGTGAATCAGTCTGTTTTTGTTGGCAAGTTTTTTATTATTGATTCAATATCATTGCTTTTTACTGGTCTGTTCAGGATTCCTATTTCTTCCTGATTCAAGCTAGGAGGAGTGTATGTTTCCAGGAATTTATCCATTTCCTCTAGATTTTCTAGTTTTGGGCATAGAGGTGTTCGCAGTAGTCTCAAATGAGCTTTTGCATTTCTGCAGTGTCAGTTGTAATGTCTCCATTTTCATTTCTATTGAGCTTATTTGAATCTTTTTTTGGTTAATGTATCCAGTGGTCTATTGATTTTGTTTATCTTTTCAAAAAACCAACTTTTCATTTCATTGGTCTTTTGTATTTTTTTTTGTTTTCAATTTTATTTAGTTTTGCTCTGATCTTTGTTATTATTTTCTTCTGCTAGATTTGGGTTTAGTTTGTTCTGTTCTTCTAGTTCCTTGAGGCGTGAGGTTAGGTTGTTAATTTGTTGTCTTTCAGGCTTTTTGATGTAGGCATTAGCACTAACCACTTTCCTCTTTTCACTGCTTTTGCTGTAATCCAGAAGTTTTGATAATTTGTATCACTGTTTGTTATCACATATTTCAAAGAATTTTAAAATGTCCATCCTGATTTCATGTTAACCCAAAAATCATTCAGGAGCATATTGCTTAATTTCTATGTATTTGTATAGTTTTGATGGGTTCTTTTGGAATTAATTTCTAGTTTTATTCTGTTGTTGTCTGAGAAGATACTTGACATAATTTTGATTTTAAAAATTTATTAAGTCTTTTTTTGTAGCCTGTGATATAGTCTATCTTGGAGAATGCTTTATGTGCTGATGAAAAGAAGGTATATTCTGCAGTTCTTGGATAGAATATTTTGTAAATATCTGTTAGGTCTATTTGCTCTAGAATATAGTTTAAATCCAGTGTCTCTGTTTACTTTTTCCCTCAATGATCTGTCTATTGCTGTCAGTGGAGTGTTGAAGTCCCGCACTGTTACTGTGTTCTTTTTTGTCTCTTTTCTTAGGTCTAGTAGTAATTGTTTTATAAATTTGGGAGCTCCGTAATTAGATGCATATATATTTAGGATTGTTATACCTTCTTGTTGAATTGATCTTTTTGTATCATTAGATAATTACCTTCTTTGTCTTTTTTTTTTTTTTTTTACTGTTGTTGCTTTAAAGTCCGTTTTATCTGATGTAATCATAGCTACTCCTGCTTTGGTTTCCATTTGTATGGAATCTCTTTTTCCATCCCTTTACCTTGAGTCTATAAAATTTCTTACCAGTCAGATGTGTGTTTTGAAGACAGTAGATATTTGGTTTGTGATTTTTTTTTTTATCCATTCTGCCAATCTGTATTTTTTAAGGGGAGCATTTAGGCTATTTACATTCAATGTTAATATTGAGAAGTAAGTTACTGTGACAGTCAACATGTTGATTGTTACCTAGTTACTTTGTTTCCTTCATTGTGTTATTGTTTTATAAGCCCTGTGAATATTATGCTTTTAAGAGTTTCTATTCTGGTGCA
Organism: Homo sapiens; assembly: GCF_000001405.40. Classification (NCBI taxonomy): domain Eukaryota; kingdom Metazoa; phylum Chordata; class Mammalia; order Primates; family Hominidae; genus Homo; species Homo sapiens. Next base: position 187,998,074 of record NC_000002.12, on the reverse strand, counting down.
TATCAATATTTTGTTTCAAGATTTAGAACTCCTTTTAGCATTGCTTGTAGGGCTGATCTGGTAGTGACAAACTCCCTCAGCATTTGCTTATCTGAAAAAGTGTTTATTTCTCCTTCATTTATGTAACTTAATTTTGGAGGATACAAAATTCTTGGCTATTTTTCTGTTTAAGGAGACTAAAGATAGGACCTCAATCCCTATTAGCTTATAAGGTTTCTGCTGAAAAGTCTGCTCTGAGTCTGATAGGTTTTATTTTATTGGTTACCTGATGCTTCTGTCTCATGTCGCTTAGAATTCTTTCTTTCACATTGACTTTAAATAATCTGATAACTGTATGCCTCGGTGATGTCTTTTTTGCAATGAACTGCCAGGAGTTCTTTGAGTTTCATTTATTTGAGCCATGAAAGTTTCCCTCAATTATTTTCTCAAATAAGTTCTCCAAATGTTTTGCTTTTCCTTCTCCCTCAAGAGCACCAGTGATTCTTAGGTTTGGCCATTTTACATAATCTCATATTTCTTGAAGGCTTTGTTAATATTTTTCTTAATTCTTTTTTCCTAATTTTGGTCTGCTTGGGTTAATTTGAAAGCCTTGTCTTTGAGCTCTGAAATTCTTTCTTCTACTTGATCTAGTCTATTGTTGAAACTTTCCGCTGCATTCTGGGATTCCCTAAGTGTTTCTTTGATTGCCAGAAGTTCTGGTTGGTTTTTCTTTAAAATATCTATCTCTTTAGAAACTTTTTCATTCATATTCTGAATCATTTTTAAAAATTTGTTTATGTTGGTGTCTACCTTTCTCCTGTATCTCCTTGAGTAACTTAATGATCAACCTTTTGATTTCTTTATCTAGTATTGCAAAGAGCTCATCTTGGTTTGGATCCATTGCTGGAGAGCTACTGTGATCTTTTGGGGATGTCATAGAACCCTGCCTTGTCATATTGCCAGAATTCTTTTTCTGGTTTCTTCTTACTTCTTCCAAATATTTTTGAATTTATATTTGATAATTGTATTTTTTAATTTTTTTCCCTTTGAGAATATAACTTTAATGATTATGGTTTATTGTAACATAATTTGCCTCTGAGTGCTTTCAATAATGAAGACTGCATATGAAATCTTTGGTTACAGACAGTCTATGTATAATGGCTTTCTCCAGTGATGGTTGTAGTAGCAGTATACTTGGTGTGTGAAACAGGTTCACTGTCTTCCATGGGACCAGAATAACAGAGGTCTCATGAAGCTTATCTTATTTCCCAGTGGTGTGAAATTCATTCATTCATTCACTCATTCATACATTCATTCATTCATTCATTCTTCCAGTATTCTACTCACTGGGTTGAACAGTTCAAGTTTCGGCCCAGTAAGAAGTGTCTGTAGGTAAAAACTGCTTGCAGCTGAAGCAAGTGGATAAACACAATACCCCAATTGTGGGCAGAGGTCCCAGCCTTGACAGAAACAGCCAGGAGAGTTCTCAGTTAAACACACTGAGGTCTTTACAGGGAGAAGAGAGGGAGCCATCTCAGCTCCCCTACCACACCAGAAGGAAAGCTTTCCACCTCACAGTCACACTTCTGACCCAGTGTTCTGGTTATTCAGATGAGACAGGCACCTCTTTTCAGCTGCAGGAATGCTGATGTTTGGTGTAGAGAGAGATTGTGACTCTACTCCTCATGCAAGCCTGAACCTAGAGTACACTCCTCCTGTGGGGATGTAGTCACCCTGAAGTGTTCCAGAGAGTCTGTCTATGGGTGCACCTATGTCAAAACTCTGTGTGTCTGCAGTGGTGAGTGAGGAGGAGAATAAATTCCCTTCTTCAAAACCCTTCATGAGTACCAGGGCTGCCTGACCACTGGAGATACAGTCATAGACTTTCCCCACTAGGCCCACCAGCACACCTGTGTCTCTGCTGAAAGAAATTTTCCACAAGCGTAAAGTTAGGAAACTCAAGGTCTGCAGTCTGAATTATTTTGTCTCACAAGGTACTCCTTTGATGAGGTGCACCCCCCCTTCCCTTAGGAGTAGGGGATCTGATGATACGGCTCTGATGAGTGGAGGAACACCAGGGCTCTTGTCTCATGCCGAATTAGATAAGGCCACACGGACACACGTGGAGTGGTTTTAAGGAGTAGAGAGTTTAATAGGCAAGAAGGGAGGGAGAAGAAAGAAGGAAGAAGCTCCCCTGTACAGAGACATAAGGAGGAGGGCTCCAAGGCTGAGAGGAGACTCCCTGTGCCACGGAAAAGTGGCTGCTTATATGAGTAGGCTGGAGGAGGTGGTATCTGATTTGCATAGGGCTCTGGGGATTGGTTTGACCAGGCATGTCACTCATGTAGTGCGCGAAAAACCTCGCTCTCACACCCTAGCCTTCTAGTATGCAAATGTGGGGCACCATGATGTTCTACACGTATAGAGATATGTCAGGGTGGCCATGTTGCCAGGCACTTGTGGGGGCAAGGGCAGGGAGAAGAGCATGGGAATTGCCATGTTTTGGTGGACCGAGTTTCTAATGCCCAGCATTTGCATATCAAAGCTTGCTGCCAGGCTCTAAGATCTGGGGCTTTCCTGCTAAACAAGAAACATTTCTGGAGCTGCTTTAAAAGAGACAAAAACTTTCCAAGGACCCCTTTTCCTCTCTATCTGCCTAAAATAATTTCTTAATAACTCCTGTCACACTAAGGGACAGACTACTGTGAATCTTGCTGCTCCTCTGGGTCTTGCTACCCAGTGAAGCTGCCACACTTTAGGCTGGGAATTTCTGCAAGGAATCCAGTGATGTGACTTGTTCTCTAATCTCCCAGCACTGAGTACCAGCGCCAGCTCTGATGAGGGTGGCAGGTGAGTGACACAGACTCTGTGAAATTTCCTTGGTTATAAATAGCCTTAGTATATTGGCTTTCTCAAATGCTAGTTGTAGTAGTAATGAGCTGGTTGTATGGACAGACTCAAGACTTCCTGATTAGCCAGGGTGATGCAGGCAGTGTTGATAGCTGAGGTCATGCAAAAGCTTCCTCCCTTCTTGGTACTGTGTCATTCTGCCTGCAGATGCTATAATGAACTGTGCTGGTTGGCTTCCAGCCAGGAGATGGCACTTGCAAAAGAGCACCAGCTGTGGTAGTAGCATTAGGATTTGTGCTTGCCCTATGTTACACACGGGAGGTACTCTGGTGTCTCAGGCAATGGGTGGGGCCATAGAGCTTCAAAAAGTCCCTGTCCTTTGTGTTAAGCTACTGTGATGAGTGGAGGGGCAAAGCCAGGTGGGGGTTGGGTTAGGCAAGTTCATATTCTGGCTTCACACATGCAGGAGCAAGCAGAGGCCCCAGTGGCATCAGAGGGCAGTTCTCTGGCTACTGAGATAATGTTCCAAGGAGGAGCGCCGCTGCCTCTGCTGCACAAAAGAATCCTCATGTGGAATGGAGGGTAGCAGGCAGCAGTAAGCTCCACCCAGCTCCTATGCACTTGGTGAGTGCATAGTGCTAATGGAACCCACAGTGATCCACTAGCAGCAGCTAGCTGGGGTCCAGGCAGCCTGTGCTTAGAACCCCAAGCTGCCCCAGGCCACGAGGCTTCCTCATTGAAACAGAAATCATGGCTCTTGGGCCACACCACTTCCCTTATGCCCCTGAAGCACGGTGCCCAGATCCCTCACTGTGGCTATATATTGCACACTTCACACTTGCTCCTTGGTTTTGGCTAAGGGGGTTAGCCCCCATTCAAGATTATATCATGAATCTCAGTTGGGAGCTTCTCTCACTAACTTTTTTTTTTTTGAGACAGAGTTCACTGCAACCTCTGCCTCCAAGTTCAAGTGATCCTCCCACCTCAGCCTCCCAAGTAGTTGGGACTACAGGCACTTACTAGAACACCCAGATAATTTTTGTATTTTTTTTTTTTTTTTTTGGTAGAGACAGGGTTTTGCCGCATTGCCAAGGCTGAACTCCTGAATTCAAGCATCAGCCCACCTGGGCCTCCCAAAGTGCTGGGATTACAGGTGTGAGCCACTGCACTTGGCTTCTCACCAAGTCTTGCCTCAGTGAGCTAGCCGACTTCTGGGAGGTACCGTGTGAGGCAGGATCAGGAATGGCTTCTCACTGTTCCTGGAGAGGCTGGGAGTGCATGCAAAGTACATCCCAATGCCACTCCTTCTCATACACTCCCACTTTTCAGTAAATTAGTTCCAGTGCTGGGTAGGGTTAAGGCTTTCCCCTGTGGCTTGGATTGCCAGGTTCCCCAGTGGGGGTGTGTATCCCAGACACAGTCTCTCCCTGCTCATACTCTGGGGACTCACAGTTTTCTGCCTGGCTCACAATGTAGGCTGCAGCCTGCTGTTTCTTTTAAAGGGTCTGCGGTTTTGTACAGTTTTCCTGTTAAGTTCCCATACTGCTTCATGGGAAAAAGTTCACAGCATGAATCTCTACACACTATTTTGTTTCTGCAAGTGGGAGAGGAATGCTAACAATGCTTCGGATCTGCTGTCTTTGGGACAGCAGGGGCGGTGTGTGTGTGTGGGTCGGGGTGGGTGGCAGGAAGACATTTATAAGTATTTCACACTAATTAGATTTTTCTTTTTTGAAAAGTGCATATTAAAAATTATTTGTGTGGATACATTTGTCAGTTCTGGGACTGTCACTCATGAAGTCACTGCATATGACCATTGTTTCTAAAGCAGCCTGCAAACTCTCTCATTGTGCCTTTGGAAGTAAATACTGGCTTCCTTCTGTAGAGACTTTAATACATGTTTTAATTTTTAACAGACAGTACGTCAGATTTTAACTACCGAGACTTATCTTTTTAAATTAATCTTATGGGGTTTTCCTAATTATTTGCTATTGATTTATTTAAAATTTTCTGAGATTCCAATAAATACTAAGGCCTATCAATACTATTAACTACAGGGTTTTTATATGGCTTGTTTCTTTTACCTTTCCAAAGAGATCTTTGGGAAATATAATTTAAATATTTAATATGCAATAACAACAATTATATTCTAACACTTATTTTCTAATACAAAGCCCCATCTTTGATTGAATCCATCCATCAGCTTAGTGCTGTGAAGTGCTGTTTAAAGGAGACATTAAAATTGTGTGGTGCCTTCACAAATTCATGATTTCCAGCCCAGCCAGAGCTCTGTCCACATTTCTACCTGGCAATCCTTGAAGTTGTTTCTAGTCAGATCATTCTCTTAATCTCTTGGCAATTATCCTAATCTTCTATCTTTTCCTCAAGATCCCAATTCTACAAATATTCTTCTCAGTAAAACATTACTCTTATTTCACAGAACCAACAAGGATGAACAGAGGAAAACTCCATCAGTATTCTGCCTACCCTGAAGCAACGTGTTTTGACTGGCACCTGTTATTCTTCCAATTTCAGGGGAACAGTGACTTTCTTTCTGTTCGATGTTAACACTTCCTTTTGTGCTCACAGTATCACTTCTCCTGACCCATTTCTTACTTGAAGACTCTCAATTTTTCCTCTCCCAGCTCTTTCCTGTCTGCACATAAATTTCGTGGTTCTCTACTTGAAGTGTTACTTGAGGGATACTTTTAAATGATACATACTTTCTCTGTAATTGAATGAAAACCTTTTTGCTATTTATCCTAAGTCTTTTTCTTAGTAACAAAAGACCTTCTTTCAATGACATTCCTCAAAGAAGCTTGTTATACAAGGTAACTTACAGGTGACTTTGCTTATGGCCCAGGGAATTTTAGTTTTCAGTCAGCTTCAACAACATTTCCTGACTTAGAACCTGCATCTTAATAACTTTCCCCTGGGATTCATATGCACATTAAGCTTGAGAATTATTGATTTAGGACAGTGGTTCTCATCACTGGCTGTATATTAGAATGCCCTAAATATCTCTCTAAAATTAACACCAAAGCCTGGACATTTTCCAAACCATCTAAAGCATAATCTTAGAAAATGATAGGCCCTATGCCTGCCTGCCTGCCTGCCTGCCTGCCTGCCTTCCCGCCTTCCCTCCTTCCTTCTCTCCTTCCTTCCTCCCTTCCTCCCTTCCTGCCTCCCTCCCTCCCTCTCTCCCTCTCTCCCTCCCTCCCTCCCTCCCTCCCTCTCTCCCTCCCTCTCTTCTTCCTCCCTCCCTCCCTCCCTCTATGCCTCCCATCTCTGTTCTTTCTTTTAAAGCTTCTCAGGCAGAATTCTAAAGTGCAGCCTGGGTAGAGAACAATTAGATGATTATGAGTATTTTTATTTTCAGCTTTTATTTTGGATTCCAGGGATACATGAGCATGTTTGTTATATGGGTACATTGCATGACACTGAGGTTTGGGGTACAAGTGATCCTATCACCCAGGTAGTGAACATAGTACCCAATATGTAGTTTTTCAACACTTGCCCCCTTCCTTGTCTGCCCCTTAGTAGTCTCAGTGTCTGTTGTTTCCATCTGTGTGTCCATGTGTATTCAATGTTTGGCTCCGTCTTATAAGTCAGAACATGTGGTATTTGGTTTTCTGCTCCTGCAATAATTCATTTAGGATAATGGCTTCCAGATTGTTGATGATTCACATATGCAGGGTTTTTAATATGCTACTTACTACTTATGTCACCTGCACACATTAGTTAATGTGTATTGTTTTAACTATCTCATCTGCTAAATTGTAATAATAATACCTACTTCAAAGAGTTGTGCTATCAGCACAGTGCTTAAAGCTGTGTCTCATGGAAAGTAACTAACAAAATGGTAACTGTTGAAATTATATCATGTTTATCGACTATATGGATTTGGTATATCTAAATAAGGAAATGGCTCTATTTTTCTCAAGCTTCAGGGCTTTGTATCAGTTTAATTTGGTTCCAACTCTCCAAGATTTCATTAAACTGCAATTTTTATTCTCATGGCTTTGTAGACCAATCTTGCAGCTTCCTACATAGACATAGTGTATGATATTTTTCTCTTTTTTTAATCAGAGAACATCATAACATGTTCTCCGGTAATTTCAGAAAAACATCTCTTCTTGCTTTTTAAAGTCTTTCTAGCAACCGCTGCTCGGTTTTCTGAACTTTATAACTTTGTCTATTATATCCTTTCCATTTTGGTGAAATAATTAGAGACATTTATTTTATATCTTTGGCAGATGTAGGGACAGGATAGATTTTCTGCTTATTTTGAGATAGGGACTGATTTTACCATCCTGAAAAGGAGAAAGTGATTTTCCCCACAACAGGAATAGAATAAGCACATTATAAAATCATAATTTAAAATAAATTAATCTCCTTTAGTAAATCTCTCTAGGCTGGTTTCAGTATAAATTTGTTCCATATAATAAATTACTTTCAGAAATAATTTGATACCCCTGAACTTAAAAGTTTAAAAAATAATTTAAAGGAAAACAGGTATTTAATAACATAATGTAGGCATTGAAAGTCAAAATGCCTGCCATTTTTTTTTTTTTTTTTTGCCTTCTATCTTGGAATAAAAGAGGAAAAGGACAAAACATAACACACTTAGCAAAAAGATCAAAGCAGATGATCAGCAAACAATGAGAGATTGCAGAAAAATTATGGAAGAGAGAATGTTGGTGGGACACATTGAAAGACTAAATGTTTGGGCCTAGAAGCTGCAGCTCAAAATACTTCATGAAGAACCTGCAGTGGAGAGCGGCTGTCATTCACATCTCCTCTGCAGTTCCCAGGGGCTCTGATCTCAGAGCTAGTGAGTAAGAGGGAGTGGCACATGTGGCTATAAATAGGAGGATTACCTGGAGGTCTGTGTAAAGCTCTATTTTGTTAGTTAGTACACCTACCCATTGTTAACTCAGAGCACCAGCACTCTGATAATTAGCACTTGGGATGGAAGCAGTAACTGGGGACTCTTCTAAAAAGGAGTTGAATCAAATGGGCTCTTTGCTAGAGTGCCTATAATCACCCCCTTGCCTTTTCTATTCCTCACTGCAGAGATATAGTGGTAAAACCTCCTCCTCAGAGAGAGATTTGATGTGGAAAAAAAAAAAAAAACCACAACACAACAGCAGAAGAAACCCACCCACTGCTTCCTTCCGTAATTTAAAACATACCATCAAGAATACCTGGGTATAGTGCAGACCAGTAGCACAAAAGACAATGGCCAGTCATAGAAAAAGAGGACTAAGGTAATAGAGGGTAGGAAATGATCATGAGAAAATATAAAATAATTTCTCATATGTGAAGAAATTGTAAGTCTTTGCACTGAAAGGACCTCTTGAATATCCAGATCAATGAATAAAAAAATTACCTCCATTTGAGGACATTATCTTGAAACTTCAGAATTCCAAGGACAAACATAAGAACGTATAAGCTTCCAAAGAGGAAAAAATAAAATATTAATTTCAATAGAACAAAAATGAAAATGGCTGTAGGCATTTCTTTAAGACTGGATGGTGGACAATAGAGCAATAAATTTATATTTCTGAGGAAAATCAAATTAGAACTTAGAAATTTTTTCCAATCAATCTCAATGAAGCATAAAGGCAGAATAAAAATAATTTGAGGCATGTAGTGATTTAGCACATAAATCTTCCACATGCTCTTTCTGTGACTATCTTGAGTATCCATTGGGCTCCAGGAAACAGTAGCTCAAAGAGGGCTGGCAGTAAAGGGCAGCCTAGGCTGATAGCTGTGCAGAGGGCTTGGGCAGTGACCTGTCCAGACAAGAGCAGCAGACCCCTGGGAAAAGTGAGAGAATCTATGAAATAGATAATGCATGTAAAATGACTGACAATGTAGAGACAAAATAGAATGATATGTATGTTACTTATAGTTTTAGATAGAACTACCAAAAATATTGACAAATGGCTACAAGAAAAAGTCTTTTGAAAGCGAAAACAGGGTTGATGAAAGACAGGGTTATCTGTTCTTTAGCCTAAGCTCTTCTATGCTATTTGATTGGTCATTATGTACATGAATTCACTCTGATAATAAAACATTCAAAACATTAATTTGAAGATTTTTAACAAGGATTTCCAAGTTATATAGATGGCTTCTTTCCTAGACTTTTTGATTTTGGTACTCATTCTCTCTCAAGTTTATTTGTATGTGTTTTCATTTCCTTACCATATTGTATGAACCATAGTTTTATTTATTTGTAACATAGTTAATTTGTAACATATTCTTATTTACTTATATATGATTTTACAAACTACAAGTGGCATTTTTATAATCCTTGAAGTATACAATGCAATATAAAATGAATAATTGATATGGCTCTGATGACTAGAGAAACATCAGGGTCCTTTGTCTCATATCAATAAAATTAGCAACATGGACGCAGGTGGAGTGGTTTTAAGGAGTAGAAAGTTTAATAGGCAAGAAGAAAATAGCTGCCCCATACAGAGGTAGGGGGGCTCTGAACAGAGAAGCCCCACGTGTAGTAGAAAGCAGTAGGTTATATTGGGAGGCTGGAGGAGGCAGTGCCTGATTTGCATAGAGCCCAGGGTTTTGGTTTGACCAGGTGTGTCATTCACGTAGCCAGTGGAAAAAACTGGCCCTCCCACCCTAGTCTTTTAATATGCAAATGTGGGTTGCCATGATGTCCTGCACACGTGGTGTTATCTGGAGGTGGCCATGACACCTGGCACAGGTGGTACAAGGAGAAGAGGATGGGAACGGACATATTGGGTGGACCTGGTTTCTAGCCACTGGCATTTGCATATCAATGCTTGCTGCTCCGGTTTTTCAAACTTCTTTCGGTTAGAAAGGAAATGGTTTGGGGGTTGCTTTTTCCTTTTTTTTTTTTTTTTTTTTTGAGACGCAGTTTTACTCTTGTTGCCCAGGCTGGAGTGCAGTGGCACAATCTTGGCTCACTACAACCTCCGCCTCCCAGGTTCAAGCAATTCTCCTGCCTCAGCCTCCTGAGTAGCTGGGATTACAGGTGCCTGCCACCACACCTAGCTAATTTCTTGTATTTTTAGTAGAGACAGGGTTTCATCATGTTGGCCAGGTTGGTCTCGAACTCTTGACCTCGGGTGATCCACCTGCTTCGGCCTCCCAAAGTGCAGGGATTACAGGGTGAGCCACCGTGCCTGGCCTAGGTGGTTGCTTTTCATTAAAGGAGAATTTCACCATGAACTTTCACCCTTTCTAGCTACCTAAAAATTATTTCTTAATAACTCCTGTATTATAATCATTGAAATGAGTAGTTGCTGGTGAAGGATTTCATGCTGCAAAATCTTATAAAACATTTAATAGTATTATTACCATGCATTATTTGAATTTTAAATAGTTTCAAATCAAATGAATAAGATTTTAATGCAGAATAATTGCATTAATAAGACCTTAGATGCACTTTTAAAATATATTTTTAAATCATGTAAAATACCATGCCTATGGCAAGAAATTAGTAATATTCAAATATCTGATTTACTCTGTTTTATGGAAATCAATAAAAGAAAAACGGTAACACCTGACACCTGAGTGAGCACCAGTGCCATTAATTTAAATTCTCTGCCTTAGCTATGTTATTTGCTACTACATTTTGATATTGATCTTTTATTATGTGAATGGTGTATATTAGGCATTAATATAGAAAGGTTTTCTTAGGAAAACTTTTAGTTAAGCCCATAAGTTAACTCATGAAAATAAAAAGTGGGAGAACATTAATTTTAATTAGAAGTATTTGGCATTTTACTCATAAGCTGCGTGTATTCCCTTTTAAGTTAATGTTTCTGCCAGTAAGAAGGCAAAGTGGACACTGTTGCCTGCACAAGTGAACACAGACCTCCCTCTTTTCTCCTCCTTAACAGAATTCTGTGTTAATATTTTTTCTTTCCAGCTACTCACACTAACACCAGCTCTATAGAGCCATCCTGATTAGTAAACTAACAAAGACCTGGCATTCTCCTAGTGATTGAGGTGAAATATCCCAGATTAAGGGAATTAAAAGAAAAATTGATAGTTCATTGCTGGAGTCAAAGTTTTGTCTCTTGCTGTGTATGAAGGAGAAAGTATGGATCTTCCACTGCCACTGGTAGGTATGTTGTGACAGTAGTAAACTAGCTTGAGGATGAAGTCGACTTGATTAATGGTGACAACGAGTTTGATTGACACTGAAGACCCACAACAAAGCTGAGACCAGAAAATTTTAGGAGATACTTACTCTGTACTTGCATCACCCTAGTCCAGGCCCTGACCCACAAGACTCAAATGACAGTGCTTACAAATCTACCCTTTATTTCAGGAACAAGCTACAATAGCATAACAGTGTTAAAGTAAGGATATGAATCACTGCTGAAGGCTTTCTCTCACAGCAAGGAGTCACCAGACACCAGGTTCAAAATCCAATTCTTCCTCTGTAAAGGTCTTCCTGACATGCTATCTTGGATCAGAAACCACCTGACGTGTAGTAAAGCCCCTCAAAACTAGGGTGCCCAAAATAGAGTCTCAGCTGGGATTTCTTCTCTGCTGATGGCCTAAACGTATCGTTGCTACATAACCAGCCCAATTGGAGTGTCCTCTGGGAGTCTCTGGGCACATCATCAATCCTGAGACCAGGTGCATAGATAGCATCAATCTCACTGCTATCTCTGAGCAATGCAAACAAGCCGGTACATGCTGCATGAAACTCCAACTTCATGGTTACAAGGTTACAGTATTCAACAGTGTGTTTCATACATTGATTACAGTGTCTGAAGGTGCAATTCTCATTTCAGTAATAACCCAGACCAATTCCAGGCTTGCTAGAATGTCGCACTGACCCTAGAAAAACAGACACATGATTATTTGATGACAGCATTAACCTGCTAACCATCTCTGAAGCCACTTCTTCTGGTTTTGTTGTTGTTAAAAAAGACAAGCGATTTATGTACTGTTTAAACTGCTCTTTTTAGAGTTTCCATTTCTGTAGCTAAAAGCATCCTAGCTTATACAAAAGGTAAACGCCTCCTTTATCTGCAGCTATTTAGGAACAAAAAAGATAGTAAACAGGGCAAAATGCTAACCAAGAGAAAAGGCTATATCTAGGAAACTGCTGACTCACGCTTTGCCAAATATTTTCTTTGGTACTCTTTTATCTAGGACAAAAACCTTTGGTTTGTTTTCAGAGACAAGTAGATGTGCTTTTGAAACGATCCTACAATATGTAAAATGCATGATACTGTAAATTATTTGGGTCCATGGTATCATTGCTTATTATGTGTAGGTTTTGTGGAAGAATATACTTAAATCTAGCTCTGATAATTTTAAATATTTTATCTCTACATGTTTCTCTTTTGTAGACTTCTATTTTGATAATAGTCCATGGCATTTAGTTTCACATTTACTAATTTCATAATTACTGAGTTGACTTTAATTTTTCCTACAGAAATTTATTATCAAACACAGTTTAAACATTTCTTTGCACTCAGCAAAGATTTATGCAGTGGCATCTGTAATTTTAAGTAACAGTTTGGTTAAAGAACTACATATTCATGTATTTATAACCTCCTCTGAAATCAAACTGTCCTTTGTCTTTTAGATAATCATTAGACCAATGAAAAGAATTAAACATTTTGGCCTATTTCTCTATAACTGAATGTTTCACTCTTGTAAATTTTTATGTTGTAAAATACTTCAAACTTTATTGTAAATAGGAAAAAACAGAGAGTTTAATAAAGCAAATTGCATACTCAAACTCTGGAAACAAATATTTCATAGGAAGGCAATTTGGTAAGCTGTGTAGTGGCTTCTTGCTCGAACTGTGCTGCTGTTCTAAGTCCAAGTCTGGAACGGACTTGAGCATGGACTGACTGGAATAGAATGGACTGAGAAGCAGAGATTGACACCACTGTGGGAAATTTTAATTTCCCTTTCTGATGGTGGTTATGGCAGTAAAAAAACCAAAGCCCTGTCTGAATCCTTTTAATGGATCCAAAGTACTGGAAAATATATAGAGATGAAGACATGGTTGCCACCAAATCTGGACTGGATTTTTTTTAAAAGGCTGCAAATTTCACTGCCTCATGAATTTTGAACTTGCATAACTTATTTAAAAATTTTGGCCTCAAATAAATATCATGAATTAGGTTTTATTTAGAGTTGTTGCCCATCAAGTTGATCTGATATGACTGTTATAACCTAACCAAATGTTTCTTTTAAAAATTCCCAATGTACATAAAATAGAAATATTTGTAAAAAATCCATAAAATGAGTTAACATATAAAGGCAGTATGCAGGGTAATATTATTGAAATTTTCAAATCATAGCTGGAACTGTAGTCTAATTTCAATATCATTGTATATGATTCTACATTCTACAATTCTTATTTACATATTAAAACAAGAATTTTATTATCTTTAATGATGATATTCATATATGACATCTACAAAACTCAATATCTATTCTAAAAAGTGATGACACATGATAAGGGCTTCTTTTTAAGTAGAGAAGTTAAAAAGTAAAGACTCTCAAATTATGCTAAAAATAAAAATGAGTAAGAAGTAATCTGGCAAGCATGATGGCATCATAAAATATAGTACCAAATTAAACCTCAAAAGCCTGGCTTTTAGCCTAGCTTTGCCAATGACTATGTGACTTTGGGCAAACTGTATCACTGCCTTATTCAGAATCCTATATTTTCAAAGAATGGATAGGACCATATGTCTCTTATCTATCTCTTTCAATTTTTTAAAAAGTCTTAGCTTTTATTATTAATAAATGGCCAAAACTACCTAGGTCGCAAGGGTTTTTAACCATCAAATTATGCTAATGACTACAGTCACATTATAAGTACCAATTTCTCAGTTATTGTTTACATGCATATTGAATACTGCAGAATTTATCTTGGCCATCTGAGCCTAACATCATTATCCATCCCTCTAGCTAGCACAACAGAGGCTGCTCCTACTGCTCCTGCTAACGCTGCCTTAACATGGACACTGTTGCTTCTGCAATTACCAAATTTTGTCCTAATTTCCTTGATGCATAAGATTAATTTCAAATTATATTTCAAACGCATGTCAGTGGTAAAAGGCGGCATAGTGGTAATGCCCCTCCTGCCAAGCCCCATGCACAGTGGTGGGAGAATAATCCCCCATGAGGACACCATAGAACTCTTAGAAAGTGTAGGTTACATACGGAGTGGCCAACACCTGCTTAATGTCTCCTCAAAAGATTACTCCATTCTGTTGAATGCTAAGGTGCTGTAATCTTGATAGAAATGCATAGATTTTGTTGCTGGTGTTTTATGAGGATTAAATTTGAAAATTGGTTTAAATGTAACAATTACATTGTGCTCTGAGTAATTCCATACATCCAACATGCAACTACCAAAGTGCAGCAACTCTCAATGCAATGAGAAAGACAGGCACAAAAAAGAAAACTACAAAATGCTATGGGATTACAAAAAAGGAAGTTATGATCTCTGCATTGGCAATTTAGAGAAATGGTCACAGAGAAAGTAACATTGGGAGTGAGAATTTTGATGAGTTTTAGAAGTTCAACAATTAGGCAAGGATCAAGTAGAACATTTACAGGGAGTGGGGATAGCATGTGAACTTCAGTGCAGAAGCTGCAAAAGGGAGAATGATCAGGACAAGTGCTTGAGAGGTAGGAAAGTATTAGGCTTGTGATTGAACTTTTTATGCCATGATGAGGAAACTGCGCTTCATCTTTTAAGCCTTGGAAGGTCATAGAACACCTTTTAGCTGAGAGAAAACATGATTTGACTTGCATTTCTGAAACAGCATATCACCATATACCAATAGATTTCTTTACAATTGCTCAGAGCATACTTTAACCCTTTTGCATAAAGAATAATAATCAAGTTGAAGATACCTTACCGACAAAAAAAGATATAAAAATTAACAGATGTTTAATTTATTCAGCAGGATTTGATTTACTTAGTTATACAGCTAATTCTCATTATTTGCAGTAGTTACATTGTATAAAATTGCTGTGAACATGGAATTTGTCAATGCTGAACCATGGTGCTTACAGAAAATACAGGGCTAGATTTCTGTGAGCTTCTGATCATGATATTTTTTCTCAACCGATCAATTAATAACCTTGTTTTATATGTGTTTCTGTTTGAAGACATCTTATTTAATATATATTATCATTAACATTGAACTCAGGTGCAACAATTCAGTCCTGAACAAAGCTTATCCAACACACACACTTCCTCTGTAAGGCACATCATAGCCGTTTTGTGCTTAGAAACACCAGACAGTACTTCAGCACTACACTCAAGAGACATTTTAAATACCAAAATCACCCACAAAACCCACAAAAATGTAAAACAGTGATGCTAAAGAGATTGCAAAAGGGACACTTATTTATAGTATGAGAGCTAAAAAAAGAAAGCAGAACTTTGCCTTGTGTGACCTTAGCTGGGGACATGTGTATCCTGGCCTCTGCACATGTCCCTGAATGACTGCCAAAGCCCTGCAAGTATTGATTAAAGATTATAAATACATTTTAGTAAGTAGGCAAATTCAAAAATATAAAATCTGTGAATGAGGATTGGCTGTATAATTGTTAATTTTAAATAGACTTTAAAAAAAGATTTATTTCTTTGATGTCAATAGACAAACTATTAAAAAGAGTATTCATAGAACATTTGCTAGGCAAAAACTGTATTCAGTCTGCTATCTTCCAAAACCTAACGCAGAAGATATTTTGTTTGCATGGAGTTCACTCATAGGGAAGATATTTCTGATATTAATAATATATTTAAAAAAAGAAAGATAAATTTTCACTCTGAAACATTGAATCCAGTCAGTTTTCATTAGAAAATTTTATATTTTCACCATTCATATTCAATAACATACAATAGAATTTTGCCTTAGGTAAAGTTCTTTTGAAATATGTGTTATATGTGGTTTTAAAAATAGACGAAATTATCAATGAACATTCTCTTTATATTTCTGAAGTGTACCAAAAACAGAAAGAACAATAAAGTTCTAAGTAAAGGTTTAAATATATGTCGCTAGTTGATAAATTGATTAGTTAAGTTGATCCTTAGAAGGGTAAATGAAAAGTGAGCAATAAGTCTCAATAACTGTGTTCCAATTGCCTTTCTTTTGCAAGGATTTCTTGCTAATGTTAATCTATGAAGCAATGGCTTAACAGAAATACGTATCTCACCTTGCTCAAAATAATAGCTTGCTTTTCCCAGCCAAGAAGTCAAAACAATAGGAGCACAAATGATACATATTCATTAGTACCAATTAAATAGTGTTCCTAACTAGGGTACCTCTTCCTAAAATGCTATAAAATATTAATCTGTTTAGCTGTCGAAAAATATTTTTATTTATTGAAGTTATTGTTCAGCTTTGGAAACAACATAACTCATTTATAGAAGTGATAAGGATGTAACAATTTCTTATTGACAACTAACCGTGTTCCTTTACATGTTCATTTATAACTTATTCTTTTATCTAATAATGATGTAAAATCCTTTTGAAAAGTAATTGTAAGTACTGAAAAAGAAAAAACTAAAAAATGAACAATGCATATTTATGTTTTAAGTTGGATATGTTAATTAGCTTGATTGTAGTAATCATTTTACTATGTATATGTATATCAAAACATCACATTGTATACCTTAAAGATATGCAAGTTTTTTTGTGAATCATGCCCGATAAAGCTTAGAAAAAACAAAAACACACAAGAGGGAGTTTAGAAAGGTTCCTGACACTAACATAAAAGATTAAAGTATTTAGCAAGAAACTCTCCATTAATACTTGTGAGAATCATTAAGGATAATATTGAACAATAATAATAATTAGCCATATGAAATAAATAGTTTCATCTTAGTAAACTTGATTTTAAAATGAATATTTGTATTCTATTAGATAATTTTTGGTGTCTTAGCTAATTTGAGCCAAATATGTGAATTTGTAGCATAACCTAACCTAACATAATTCAATACAATATATTATAATAATGTTAACAACTTTCAGCTTTCTTTCTTTGTTATGAGAAACCTATTCTTAAATCACAAAAACAAGGGATTGTCATATTAAACCAAAACAATATCAAGTATAAAACCATAATTCTTATATTGTTGTGAGTTTTAGAATTTTAAAATTTCCAGTGTATTCAAAGACTTCAAATTTAGCATTTCAATCCCTGAAAGTCATAATATTGGTCATTTTTGTTATTTTAGAGATTAGAAGCCTATAAAAAGAACTTTTAAGTAAACATAATATTAAAGACACTTCAATGCAACATCATATATGAAGTTTCTCAATGAGGAATAGCACTTTCTGAATTTTAACTTTTTTTCAAGGATTTACAACTGATTTTTCTTTAAAGAAATCTATAAACTACTGTCACTCAGAAGTAAATGATAGAATGAATCCATAACAAGCTATGCTTGGCGTATAATAATAGTTTGGGAATATTATTAACATGACCCTCTTTCACTACACATTTACATAAATTCATCTATAATAAGCTGTCTTAATTTATGACTCATAGCATGAAGATTATATATTAATGTTGAGTAAAAAGATTTGAAATTACCTTCTATCTTGATTCTTTGGAAGATTTACTTATGATAAACATTTTGTAAGGAGTGGGGACTATTGATCTCTAACTCCAAGTCAGAATTTTCCAAATTATTTTCACTTGAAAATGTAAATTGGATGATAGTTATAGACAACTTTGATCTCTAAAGTTAAGTTTAAAAATCACTGTGGAATAGGTTCTTAATAGTATGCTTGAGATGAAAAGAAAATATTTACTTGTTTCAAATCAGGTCACTAAAATGCTTATTTTTTAACAACGTGATCCAAGGCCGGGCGCAGTGGCTCACGCCTATAATCCCAGCACTTTGGGAGGCTGAGGGAGCAGATCACCTGAGGTCATGAGTTTGAGACCAGACTGACCAAAATGGAGAAACCCTGTCTCTACTAAAAATACAAAATTAGCCAGGCGTGATGGTACATGCCTGTAATCCCAGCTACTCAGGAGGCTGAGGAGAATCGCTTGAACCCGGGAGGTAGAGGTTGCAGTGAGCCGAGATCACGCCATTGTGCTTTAGCCTGGGCAACAAAAACAAAACTCCATCTCAAAAAAAAAAAAGTGATCCAAAACTAGTGAAATACGACATGTTCCTAATTTTTTCATTTCCTATTCTTTATCATCTCCATGAAATTGAGATAGAAATTATTCCTATTTCTTAAATCTTCAAATATTGATCATAATACCGAGTGTAATTTTCGATTATAATTCCATTCCAAAATTATATATTTCATCTTGTAAGATTCTTTTAGACTGCTTAATCATAGTTTAAGCTTTATCCAGACCATGGAGTCTTGTGGTTAAAAGTGGGGGTTTGTAGAGAGAGATGCCTGAATTTATTTCCAACTGTAGCACTCAGCCTTAGCTTTGCAATCTTGTCATAGTAATTTAAACACTTTAGTTGTAAAAAACTAATAAATATTTCCTATTTTATGTATTTTGTTGAGGAATAAATAATTAGGTAATGCTCAGTTTACTCACTGATGTAGAGTTAGTGTTAAAAGGGTGCTTAGATTAATTTTGTTATCAATAAGGTTGTTAATGTTGATGCTATTATCCTAAAGTTATAATTAATTGCAATTTAACAATCATAAAAATATTTAAATCTAATACCAAGACTAAATATTTTCTTGTGTCATGTATTTAGTCATGCTTTGAAACTCGATTACCATAAATTTATTTGAGTTTACACTCAAAATTTTAAACTTAAAAATCACTTACTACATGACTGTTTTGTACCAAAAATTGTGCTCATCTGTGGGAATGAAATGATAGACATTGCCTCTGCTATCAAAGACCTCACACTGCCATAGCAATTTACAACAAAGGGACCATCTAAACGTTTACTCCATTATGCAATGAGGAATGGAGGCATCAAGTAAAATGAAAAAGTGATTTATTAAGAGAGTTTAATCCACTTACATGACTTACAATTAAAGTTAGTTTGTATAACCATGACTTAAATATTAACAGCAATTTCTATTTTTCACCTTTCACAGAACTGAGCAAATTTGACTGTATTGGTTCTCAAATTAGTACCTGAAGCAAATCAATGTCTAAAGATGATTGTTTATCTTTCAAATATAGCTTATGCTCAGGGTAAACTTGTACCTATTGAATGCTAAAGGAACAAAGAGTGGTCATCTGGATCTCTCAGTATTTAGGGAATCCATCATCTCACAGGCTCATTGAGAGAGAATACAAATCATTTAGTCTCCAACTTTACAGTGCAGAAAACTCTTAACTATCAGAAAGTTATTTCTCTGGTTTTCAATGAGACAAAATTCCATACTCAAAAAGCCTTATATTTCTATTTACATACTCCTCAATATTAAATTATAATGACTTTTTAATTTTAAAATAAAACACACAGAAATAGAAAGTGTTTAACGGTTTTGCCTAAAGTTGTAAAAGAAAAATACGCAGGACTCCTTTGACGGCCTTACAGTGATTGGAAAGAATTGAGACGAGAAGGTGGTTGACTTTCTTAGAGCATGCATTGTTTATGAAAAAGATGTTATCTCCACTAGTTTTTCCTCCTAAAGACAGGAGAAGGTGATGCCAAGAGAATTACTCAAGAAGGTTGGATGTGTTGATAAGAAGGGAAAGACTGCTTTTTATTGCTGACATTGAGACACCTATCACCATTAATTATATCTGAGTTTACATTGCAAAATGTAAACAATTACTGCATGCCTGTTTTGTGCCAGGAATTGTGCATATCTGTGGGAATACAATGATATGCATTGACCCTGCCATCAAAGACCTCACAATACCAGAATAATAACAGCTTAACCAAAGACTTGTTGACCGGACTAATTTGCTCCCATTCTATCAGAAGGCCAAAGAGCCTTAGAGAGGGTAGTGTGTTTGGAATCACAAGATCCACTGTGCAAGGACTATCTCGAAGAATAGGCTTTTTTCTGCATCTATAGTGACTAGATCTGGGAACCACAATAACAGATCTCATTGAGGAATGTAAGCCAGCTGAAGATGTTCATAGTTTTAGAAGGGAAGTCTAAATATCCAAGGAAATAGGCTGGGATTCAAAGCTAGGAGTCATCAGGTAACTGAGTACCACCAGAGTTCACCATGGCTAGTTAAGAAGGACAGTCTGTCTTTACTGCCTGTTGATGTGCATGTCTGCCTACCCTGAGCCTACGGACAAGCAACATTAGCAGTAGTGGTAACTGAAAGAAAAGAGACTGAAGCTTTGCCATAGGCCATGATGAAAACTAAAATGTATTTTCCTTTCCCTTCCTCCTCCTGCAACACCAGGGGACAAGTACAGGGAAGTTAAAAGCAGGAGAACAGACCGCAGCTCTCCTTACCTCTACCTCATAGACCATAGTCAATAGTCTAGTTTTCTTTGCGTAGTAGAAGACTCTTTAATTGTATGAGACTGCACTTTAAAAGGAATAGGACTAATAGTTAATTGAATAGAGGCTATTTTTCTACAGCATGCGACTGTAAAGTTTTAGAATTGGTTAGGATTATTAAAAGAACCAGAGGACGCTACTCCCCACCACCTGCCACGGCCCAGAGAAAAGTGGTTCAATAGAGCACCTTCGGTAACAATCACTGTTCAAATAAAATATTCATGTTTCTCTTAAATGAATTGGGATTATTAACTAAAGTTATTAGAGAAATAATAAAATTTTAAAATTCTCTTTATCTGTCTTGTACTCTTTTTCCTCTAGTGCTTGCAGTGGTGTGATATGCACTTGTACTTCTGCACTGAGGCAGGGGGAAAGAAACTGCAAACTTTCTTGGAGCTGCCATGCTAAAAAGGATTAGTGAGAAAAGGTGTTCTTTATGTTCTAATGTAATCCAACACCCACTCAGGTAGGAGAACAGATATGTGATTCAGAGCAGAAGCCCTAGGAAAAGAACATTTCTGGGATATTTTTTCTGCCCTCTCCTCAGAGATTTTAGGCAGATTGGCTGTAAGTGGATGTAATATAGGTAGGAGACCAGCAGGAAGCCTAATTCCTGGTCGGATCACAACTAGCACAATGCAATTTGTAAGAAGGTATCTTGAATACTAATGTCCGAGATCTAAATTATACCTGTATGTATGACTTTCTATAATTAGAACAAGGCCACTTTGGAAAATTACCAGCAATACTATGCGATTACCTAAGAGGTCTAATTTTTTTTTAGATTTAACTTTCTTTCTGATGTAATTTGGTTTGTTTCTTCTGTGACTAGAAAGATTTCTTCAGTTTGTGCCTGAATTGACCTTCTCTGAACCAAATACCAGATTAACTCCAAAGCAAGTGGAATGCTGAGACAATTACCATGTCACAGCACTAAGCATTTACTTGGAATTGGAAACAGGATACAATAGAGTCTGCTTTCAGTAATTTAACTGTAGAGTCAAAAGTGATGCAAATATCCTATGAAGTTTAAATCTTTCTCATTGGAGATAAGGGGCTGTTTATTATAACCACATCAACTAACAGATAGACAAGAATATCATAGAAATCATAATGACCAATTTTTAACTTCACCATTTTTAATTATGTGGAGTTTCTAACATCAAGAGAGAAGAAAACGTATGTTCCTTTTATTAGGGTAGTTCAATCACAAGTGACATTATGGCTAAGATGAAGGAATGAGTCACCTGTACTGCAAAAGAACCAATTTCCCCTTGCTAATGTGTTGTCAGCAAAGTCCACCAGCCAGCCTGACTGCTGTCATACTTAGAGCCAGTTGTCAGACTAAATTAGTAAAGTCATTTTTCTTTCCTTGTATGAACTGTTTATAGCATATCAAGAAGGAGAACAGCATTTAGCTGCATCATATTTTAACAGAAAGAGGAAAGGTTGTGGAGCCAGCAGATTCGAATATATAGGATTTTTCTTTCCCTTTTTAATACTAAAACATAAAGATGACATATAAATAAATAATACGTATTATAATAAATAATAAATATACACATATATCATTTAAAAAACACATCACATAAAAATATACACACAGTAAAGAATAGAAGATCCTCTTTTCTTGCCATTTCCAGGTTGACCCAATCCCCTTCCAAGAAATAATGTTATCAGCTTCAGGGGTTATATTTATTTTGTCAATATTTTTTGTCAATCTTTCATTTTATTAACTGGATAGCCCATTATTAATATCAGACAGTAATTTGCTTAGCAAATGTCCTATAGGCATTTAAATTGTTTCCAGTTTCCCCACCACCACTTCACTCCCCCAGAAAATACCACCAGGAAAATACTGATGTAAAAGTAAGAACTAGTTTGAATTCCAGTTCTGGCGTTCCCTAGACATGTGATTTTTGGTGAGTTATTATCCTTTGAAAGCTCAATTTTTTATTTGAAAGCATGGAGAGAATGCTAATCAGTACTGTGGTGAGAACTAAATGAGATGATGTAAGCACAACACCTGACCTTGATATTAGTGTGAAAATTACTATGAAGAAAAACACATGCAAACAAAATCTTCAGTCCTATATTTATATTTTTTACTTTCTAAAAATAATAAAATCATAAACTGTAAGGAGAATTTAATGTAGCATAACCCCATAGACTTTTAGAGGAAAGGTGAGAAATGAACAAATCACAATATGAATTAGTAATTTTTTGACTGGTCATTTTGAAAATGGATTTCTTGGTCTGAATACTAATCTATCTGAGCTAGGAGTGGGGGATGATTAATATTCATAAATTTCTTACAGAATGCTCTGATTATGCTAATGTTCTTTCAAAATGTATAAAGAGACAAGTTTGAAGGAAAAAGAACAAAAATAATTACCAAAATTAAGCTTAATAGTGGAGCAAGGCAGAAATATATACCCTGCATGTTGTTGGCTCACAGCTGACATAGATGGGCGACACCTCAGAAAAGATACACATACTCGTCAGAATATCATTTATAAAGTATATTTCACTCATTTTGAAAGTAGAGATACTTTTGTAACTAGACCTGTTATAGAATGTATTATATATATATAATGCATCTTTGTCATATATATATAATTAGATAATATTTAGAATAATGGTAATTAAATATTTAGGAGCCTGTTAGATTCATTGTAACATATACGTGTTGAAAGATATTAATTACAGATGTTAGTAACTCAAATACCTTTTCAAATATAATTTCTTTTTCTCTAGAATGGTTAGAAAATCTACTCAGTTAAACATGGTGGGTAAATATAAATCTCATTTTTACACCTGGCTTCAGTTTGTCTGTATTCAGTAATTATGTATATGATATATTCTAAAAACATTTGCATGTTAAGTATAATTCTATTATGTGTAGTACAATTATATTTTAGGAGTGAGCTCTTATTTGTAATGTTAGGGTAAAAATACTACACATCCTCCTCAATTTACTATGGGGTTATGCACCGATATACCCATTGTAAGTTGAAAATATCATAGTGGGAAATGCATTTAATACATATAGCGTAGTAAACGTCATAGCTCAGTTTAGCCTACCTTAAATGTGCTCAGAACACTTACTTACATTAGCCTACAGTGGGCAAATTCATTGGACATCACAGTTCATTGTAAAGTATTGGTCGTTTAACCTCATGACCCTGTGGTTGACTGGGAGCTGGGATCACCATCACTACCCAGAATCTTGAGAGAGTGTCAGAGGCATATTGCTGGAAAAGATAAAAATACAAAATTTGAAGTGGAATTTCTACTGAATGCATATCATAAAGTCAAAAAAGTTTAAGTTCAACCGTCATAAGACAGGGACCACCCGCATTTGCATGGAAGGCAAATGGTTATTATGTAGACAACTTTATTGTTTCAAATAGTACAATAACCAAAATACTTTCTTAACAAGAAACTGGTCTCTGATTGCAAGAGGATAAAAGGATTCCCACCCTCTTCTAGATGAAGAAAGAACATATTGCCTGGTGTGTTTATTCATGACCTCACTGCTTGGTAGCATTTATTTTGTACCTTTTTTTAATGCACATAGCGGTTTTTGCTTCTGTTTCTCTTCTGCTATCTTTGTCTCTTCCTTGGGTTCTCATTCAGAGCTTTCATTTCTCTCCTTATGTCAGTTTCCCTGGAAGTTTCCTGCCTCTTCTTTTGCCAGAGAGCTAGCCTATTGTGATTGTGACCGTGAAGTGACTTGGTAACATACATATTTGAGGCAGGAACAAGAGGAAAGATGCAGGTCATTCTTAGAAAAGACTCCCATTTACTTATTCATAAGTCCATACACGTCTCTTGGTACCTCTTAGAAGGATTTAATTTCCTTAGTATTTTACCTGGGGTGAAGATAATTTATTATCCAAACGAGAACACATTTACAGTGAGCGGAGGCACTAAACAGACAGGACACTGGGAAAATGGGCACACACCAGGACTAAACTAGCACAAGTGTTCACCGTAATTTTTTCTTTTTTCTTTTTTCCTTTTTTTTTTTTTTTTGAGGCGGAGTCTCGCTCTCTCACCCAGGCTGGAGTGCAGTGGTGCGATCTCGGCGCACTGCAAGCTCTGCCTCCCAGGTTCACGCCATTCTCCTGCCTCAGCCTCCCGAGTAGCTGGGACTACAGGCGCCTGCCACCACGCCTGGCTGATTTTTTGTATTTTTAGTACAGACGGGGGTTTCACCGTGTTGGTCAGGATGGTCTGGATCTCCTGACCTCCTGATCCACCCGCTTCAGCCTCCCAAAGTGCTGGGATTACAGGCGTGAGCCACCGCGCCTGGCCGTGTTCACCCTAATTTAACCTTAAATTTGCTTTTCAAAAATTACTCAGTTAAAACATATAAAGGAATAACATTCAGACTCATTGAGAACATTACAATTAGTGGTAAAGTAATTCTGTTGTAACATCAGTTTACCTTACGAAAAACTAAAGCATCATGGTTATTCAATTTCCTATAAAAGAGACCAATATATTTCATTATTAACATTAATAACACAAAAGGCAGCTTAGTAAAGTTGGTGTCTTTGGGAAATAGCAGAGAAAGCTGAAGCATTAAGAGAGAAATTATGATATATTCCTTGATTTTGATTTAAATAAAAGTAAGCCACATATAATTTCTTATGGTTCATTATATTTAAGTCAAAAGAGTAATTTGTGTGTTAGCTTTTACAATTATATATGAATATCATGTTTTGACACTATGCTACATTTTACATGATGTATTTATATTGAGACCAGAATATTTTACTCAACTGAGGGAGAAACAGAAAAGTGTTCAATCATAAATACAGTACAAACATTGCATTTGCACCTGAAATGTGTAGTAAAATATGATTATTTATAAAGTTAATATTAAATATTAGATGCATTTTAGTACTGCCAGCTAGGTTTATGTTGATTGATTTTCCAAATTTACTCCTTTCTTACTTTAAATTGTGTTTTTTAAATGTTTAATGACTAATCTTACTTAGCATCAAATATATGTCATTTTATACCCAACAGTGCATGTGTAAAAGTAATTCTTGTTCATTCTTGAGGCGTTTATTGCCTTAACTGGGCCTCTATTCAATCATAACTGCATATAGGGCGATAGCACCTAGAGACTATGAGGGTGGAGGTGAACAGGACATGTGGGTTCCCCCATGAATGGCATGAGTGTCTTTATAAAAGGTCTTGAGGTCAATAGCTAGCCCATTTCATCCCCATTGGCTCTTTTGTGCACTTTTAACTTGGTCCCAATCTTTGGGAAAGTATTCAGTATTTTGACGTCAAATACGATATTAGCTGTAGGCTTGGTTTTGTTTTGGTAGAAGTTCTTTATCAGAATGAGAAAGTTTCTTCCCACTACTGTACTGTGAGAATATTATGAAAAATTGATTTTGTGATTTTTTTCTTATCTATTGAAATAGTCACCTGGCTTTTCTCTATTATACTCTAAAATTGATGAATTCTCATGGTTGACTTTCAATGGTGAAACCAACCTTGTATTACTGAGATGAACTCTATTTGTTCATTGATATAGTTTGGATATTTGTCCCCTCTTAATCTCATGTTGAAATGTAATCACCAATATTGGAGGTAGGACCCGGTGGGAGGTGTTTGGGTCATGGAGGTGGGTCCCTTAAGAATGGATTGGTGACCCCTTGTGGTAATGAGTTAGTTCTCACTCTGAGTTCACATGAGATCTGGTTTAAAATCTGTTTAAAAGAGTTGTGAGATGGTATCTCATTTGGTTTTGATTTGTATTTCTGTACTGACCAGTGATATTTAGCTTTTTTTCATATGCTTGTTGGCCACATGCTTGTCTTCTTTTGAAAAGTATCTGTTCATATCCTTTGCCTGTTTTTTAATGGGGTTGTTTGTTTTTGTCTTGTAAGTTTGTTGAAGTTTCTTACAGATGCTGGATATTAGACCTTTGTCAGATGCATAGTTTGCAAACATTTTCTCCCATTCTGTAGGTTATTTGTTTACTCTGTTAATAATTTATTTTGCTGAGCAGAAGCTCTTAAGTTTAATTAGATCCCACTTTTCAATTTTTGCTTTTGTTGCTATTACTTTTGGTATACTTGTCATGAAATCTTTACCAATCAGAAAGGCTATTATGTAAAAGTAAAAAAATAAGATGCTGGCAAGGTTGTAGAGAAAAGGGAACACTTATACACTGTTGGTGGGAGTATAAATTAGTTCAACCATTATGGAAAGTAGTATGGCAATTCCTGAAAGAGCTAAGAGCAAGCAGGACTACCATTTGACCCAGCAATTCCATAATTGGGAATATAGCCAGAGAAATAGAAATTATTCTACCATAAAGACACATACATGTGAGTGTTCATTGAGCACTATTCACGATAGCAAAGACACGGAATCAACCAAAATCAACCAAAATATCTATAGATGACAGATTGGATAAAGAAAATGTGGTACATATATAACATGGAAAATACTCTACTGTCATAAAAAAGAACGAGATCAGGTCTTTTGCAGGAGCATGGATGGAGCTGGAGGCCAATATCCTTAGTAAAATAACAGACGAACAGAGAAAACCAAATACCACATGTTCTCACCTACAAATGGGAGCTAAATGATGAGAACTCATGGACACAAAGAGACGAACAACAGACAGTGGGGCCTACTTGATGGTGAAGGGTGGGAGAAGGGAGAGGAGCAGAAAAGATAACTATTTGGTACTGGATTTTATATCTGAGTGATGAAATAATCTGTACAACAAACCTGCATGACACGAGTTGAACTATGTAATAAACTTTTTTTTTTTTTTTTTTGAGACTCAGTCTCACTGTGTCACCCAGGCTGGAGTGCAGTGGTGCCATCTCTGCTCACTGCAAGCTCTGCTCTCTGGGTTCAAGCGATTCTTGTGCCTTAGCCTCCCAAGTTGCTGGGATTACAGGCACCCGCCAGCATGCCCTGCTAATTTTTGTATTTTTAGTAGACAGGGTTTTACCATGTTGGCCAGGCTGATCTTGAACTCCTGACCTCAAGGGATCCACCTGCCTCAGCCTCCCAAAACGCTGGGATTACAGGCATGAGCCATCTCTCCTGATCATAATAAATCTAAAATAAAAGTTAAGAAATAAAAAAATAAAGAAATGAATAAATAAAAGAGCATAACAACTCTCCCTCTCTCTGTCTTACTCCTCCTCTCTCTTTCTTGCTTCCCCTCTCCTCCCCCTTCACCTTCTGCCACGATTGTAAGCTTCCTGAGGCCCTCACAAGAAGCAGATGCCAACACCACAATTCCTGTACAATTTGCAGAGAGCCAATTAAACCTTTCTTCTTTATTAGTTACCCAGTCTCAGGTATTCCTTCATAGCAATGCAAAAACAGACTAACACATTCGTGATGTATTACCTTTGTAATATATTGCCTGATCTTGCCTGGTAAACATATTATCATTTTTGCATCTACGTTCAAGAGGGATTTTGGCCTATAATTTTATTTTTTGAAATGGTATTGTCAGGTTTTCTTATGAGCTTTACTGGCCTTATAAGATGTTGTGGAAAGTGCTTGCTTTTGTTTCTTTTGTGGAAGAGTTTGTGTGAAATTAATATTTATTTATTAAATATCTTATGGCATTCAACAATAAAATAACCTAGGTCTGGAGATTTCTTCATGTAAATGTTTTTGATAAATCAAATTAAATATAAGACTATGTTCTTTAATATTGTATCAAATTTAACGTTATAGCTGTTAAAAATATTCATTTCATCTAAGTTCTCAAATTAGTATAAAAGTTATTGTGGTTATACTTTTATTATTTTACTGTTTGTATGATCTACACTAATAATTACTTTTTCATTTCTGATATTGTTAATTTGTGTTCTCATTTTATTTCATAGTCTAATAAATATTTTGTCAATTTTGTTATCTTTTGAAAGAACCAAATGTTTTCTTATTATCTTTATTTTTGTTTGCTGCTGATTTCATTAATATCCAATCTGATCATTTTTTCCTCCCTTCTACTTCTTTTTTTCCATCATCTTTTAGTCATTGATTTTAGACCTTTATATTTTTCTAAGATAGACATTGAAGCTTCTAAGTACTACTTCAGCTGCATCCAACAACTTCTGATATATTGTATTGTGTTATCATTTGCTAGATATGTTTTTTGACTTTTCTTGTGATTTCCTCTTTGAAATCTGATTTTTTTGAAATATATAGTTTACCTTCCAAATATTGGGGATCTACCTGATACTTTATCGTTATATATGCCTACTTTGATTATAGTCTTAGAATGTACTCTGTATGACTACAATCAGTTGAAGTTTTCTGATACTTATGTGATGTCCCAGCATATGTTTAAACTGGTGAACATTTTATATTCACAGGAAAATAATTTGTACTCTTCAATTGCAGTTCTTAGTGCTCTATAAACATCTAAGTCACAATGATTCATAGTATTGTTTATATTATCTGTAACTTTATTTTTTGGTGTAGCTGTTTGATATGGTTTAGATTTGTGTCCCTGCTCAAATCTCATATTGAATTGGAGGAGGGGCCTAGTGGCAGATGACTGGACCCTGCGGGCAGATATTCCCCTTGCTGTTCTCTTAATAGTGAGTGAGTTCTCATGAGATCTGATGGTTTAAAAGTGTGTGTCACCTCCCCATTCACTCTCTCTCCTGCTCTGCCATGGTAAGATGTGCTTTCTTCCCCTTCGCAATTCATCTTGATTGTAAGTTTCTTGAGGCCTCCCTCTGCCGCCATGTGGAACAATGAGTCAATTAAACCTCTTTCCTTCATAAGTTACTGAGTCTCAGGTAGTTCTTTACAACAGCATGAGAATGAACCAATACATTGTTCTATTAGTTGCTAAAAGAGTTACCTAATGTCTCTATGATGGTAAAATTATCTTTTTCTCTGTATAATTTTTTAAATATATTTTGAACTGTGTTTTTAGGCACATATGCATTCATTTTTATGTTTTTTGATGTATTCCATTGCTGTTATGAAATATCTTCATTATGTTTTATAATGTTCTATATTTAAAAGTTATTGTATCTGATATAAACATATGGAGGACTAGTGTGACTTGTGCAGAATATCAAAATGATTGCATCTCTGTATAATACATTGTACCAGAGAAGATTTGTCTCAGTCATACTTCATGTATACTTCTGTCTTTCCTATGAAGCGTACTACTTTTAATATTTCTAATTGATGGTGATTGTGATACATGAACTCTTCACATTAGTAGCTCTATACTAAGCACTGCAACTGTGTTGATCTCTCTTAGTAGATATCACAACCGGTGTGGCAACTGAACTTGAGGCTACCATTATGTTAAATTGTAGAAATATGACATTATTCATCCATCTTTTGAATGTCGCAGAGGCCAACAGGAATCAAACAGGGATATGATTGGCACCTGTACTCCTGCATTCATTACAATTTTGGGGATGGCACTAATTGATTCCATTCCACCTGGAATACAGTGTTACTTCATATTAATTATATTGGTCTTCATCAGTGGTAGGCCAGTTTTAGGGGCTTTTGTTTTAGCCTTTTCTACCTCAGTAGCTTTGACTCCACAAGCCGGAGAACAAATGCGAAAGAAGCTTCTGCCAGCTGCTATGATGTTTGAATTCAGAGGCAAGGGAAATGATAACTGGGTAAATCTGAGGATGCATTGTATTTAGAGTAAGATGATCTTGGATCAGAACATAATTTATTAACTGGCTCCCTTCACCACATTGAACTGAGGTTCCAAGATAGCATTTTGGATTTCCTGTTACTAGTGTCTGTTTAGATGCTGTATCCAACAGCCCTCCAAAAGTCTGGTTATTGTCCTTTTCTTCGTAAATGGTAAATGGTCATAGATCTTTTTAGGGAAAGAATAGAGGGATGTTTATCTGATATACGAAGAGTGTAAAATTGTGTCCTTCCTCAAGGGGACTGAGATTTTCCTCCAATCAATGGATATTGGATCTATGCAGTCACTTATATCTGGACCCTGAGTAAAAAACTGTGATTTTCCACTTGGGTGTCTGACATCAGTCTTCTGCTTGCCAGACCATATTTTTTTTCTTATTTTGCAAGTTATATAACATCCAATCAGCTGTGTTGGAACATAATGCTCTTTCAATCATCCCCACAGATCCCTGAGGGTCAGAGCACCCTGATTGCTACTCTGATCTTGCTGCCCATTACAGTAATTACAAGTACCTTGCCTCTGATAGTTAAGTACTGCCAACTGGCCTCTAACATTCCAGAGTTCCATAAAAAGGACATCCAGTTCTATCTGCTCACACCAACCTGCACAGAAATCCACTACTAAATTTCACAAAGATGCCTCTACACCCCCCACCCCTCTCTCAACACCACAAATGTATTACTGATTTACTTATTGACTTACAATGGAGCATTCTATAGGAGCTCCTAAGGAAAAAACAGTAGATGGTGAGGTGAGAGGGCCTTTGGTTTTACTTAATAAATCCAGTATAACATTTCCACCTTTTTGAACTTCTGACTTCTTCCTCATTTTTCTATTATGGCAGTTCTCAAAAAAAACTTCACCTCATTTACTGTAGGCTATCATTTTGTATGAACTTCAAAGAGATTATCTCAGCATGGTACTATAATCTGTTCCAGGTGTCCCTGCCAGGTCATTGAACCCTGAATCACGGGTGATTGTTTTCAAGTTATTAAATTATTTTGTCACATTCTTCCTTTTCTGGTCAAATATATGTCCTTTAGCTCTTGTCAGTAGCACAGTAGGCAGGTCTTACAGCTTCTTTGGGGTGTTTGCTATTTCCTTCTGAGCAAGAATGCACACAGCTGCTGTTTGTGCTGATGCTGATCTTGTTTAATTATATAGAGACAATACATGATGTGGAGAGGCAGATATTGAGGAGAATAAACAGCAACTTGTGAGAAATCTGCTTCAGGTGAGGTGTGTGCAATGTCTCTAAACAAGGAGAGACTAATCCTCCTCACTCCATAGGGTAAGAAGCTGCATCTGACAAGCCAGAAAGTCTGTGGTTCAGTGACTTATGCAGTATTGAGTGTCTCAAGATTGTCTACTAAATGTACCCACCACAGATTTCAGGGTCTTAAAGACATTGCTTTTAAAATTGGAAACCTGTTAAAGAGAATTAATACTATAGCTTTTATAACTGCCCCTCCCTCATACTTAGATCCTTGGCCTGATTTTCAGCATAGTCTGACCCGTGACTGCAGGACATAGGAGTCTCCCTAAAGATCACTATCACCATAGAAACTTTAGCTTTCACAATGTTCCTTGAGTTGATACTGGCTGATCTGCACCTATCATTTTTTTTCCCTGAAATTGTAAAACAGTACAACATTTTAAAATTATCATTATCTTCATATGGAGCATGCCAAAGGTTCTATATACCCTGCCACTTCATAGTCCATGAGCATCTTATCTCACCATAAGTGTGAATCTTAATCATTTTAATGCTACTCCATGTCAGGGGTTACCACCACTCCACTTAACACCAGAAATGGAATCCCCATTGCCTAATGACCTATGAATAATCTAGCTCCAAAATCCCATCTTGGGATTCAATTTTTTGGCATCATTTCAACTAGTGTAACTAAGTGAGCCTATATGTCTCTGAAAATGGAGCCTTGGGCAAAAGAATGCTTAAGGGTATAGAGAGTAGGACCAGGGAAAAAGGAAAGTAAATACAAAGGTATTACAGAAGATACATGTTCAATTACAAGACATTATGAGGAGGCTTATAAAAGCAGCTCTTAACTATTTACTGGGAATTCCAGTTGTCCCTTGTCCAATGTGTCTCTATAGATATTGACTATTCTGTATTGCTGGCATTGGCAAAGTCTGGTGTTAGGAGGTAAGCAGTCCATTATATGAGCTAAGGGTTATGGAAAGGTACTGTCTGAGTCCAGTTGAAAGAAACTGGTTGAAGCCTATTCATAAGTAGTCACTGGAGTAAGAAGTGAGACCAAGAGAATTTGCAATACTGCACAAGACATAGCTGAGAAAGAAACACCTTTTTTCACATTTTTCTAAACTTCCTATAGTACGAATGTTCTTCATAATGCTTAAGCAATGCCAGTATAAACTACTACATACGGAAATTTGAAAGGCATGCTATATTTTATTTCATTTCTTTCCTTTTTTATTTGACATAGAATAATTGTATATATTTGTGGGGTACATAGTTAATTAGCATATCCATCATCTTGAAGATTTATCTTTGTGTTAGGAACATCCATTCTAACTATATTATTGTTAACTATAGTCATCCTACAGTGCTATAAACACTTGAACTTATTCCCCCTATCTAGCTGTAATTTTGTAGCCTTTAGCAAATATCTCCCTATCCCTACCTTCCCCCTACCCTTTTCAGCCTCTAGTATCTTCTGTTATATTTTTTATATCTATGAGATCAATTTTTTTAGCTTCCACATATGAATAAGAATATGTGGTGGTTACCTTTCTGTGCGTAGCTTATTTCACTTAACATAATGTCCTCCAGTTCCATTCATGTTGCCACATGATGGGACTTCATTTTTTTATGGCTGAATTGTGTATGTGTGTGTGTGAGAATATATATATACACACACATGTATATTTGTGCGTGAGAATATATATATACACACACGTATATTTGTGTGTGTGTATATATATATACACATTTTCTTTATCAATTTACATGTTGTTGAACACCTAGATTGATTCAGTATCTTGGCTATTGTGAATAGCACTGCAATAAACATGAGAGTGCAAATGTGTCTTTAATATACTCATTTCATTTCCTTTGGATGAATGCCCAGAGGTGAGATAGCTGGATCTGAATCATCTTTGATGATCAATTCTGGGTAAGGCATTTTATTTCATCAGACCCCCATAGACAGCAGTTTGGCTCTTAAAAATGAACAAAGCAACCAACCAAACCTATGTTTTAAAACAAAATTAGTGACTTAAACTGTCATATCAATCATTTGGGTTCAAAAATAATATTGAAATATGAATACGTTAAATTTAAATATAATCAGTTTATTCCCAAGGAACATGTTGTTATCCATATATATGTCTAATGCTCTTTGTCTCTTAAAACAGCAGCAATATTAAAATATTTGTTAATAAATAACAAAGCTCTTGATAAATATTTTCTAAAAAGCCATATTTTAATGAAAAGTCAATAATTAGATATATGAAATCAGAATAATGAACAATTGTAGTAAATTACATTTTTTTAAACTCCAACATTATTGTGATTTAGAGACATAGGTTCATAACTTACTGAAAATAATCTTGTGTAAATTTAAAGATTTTCCCAAAGTGACACAATGGCTAGGTTTTCATATTTCTTAATTGGTTTCATTTTCCTTTAATCAGAAAATTAACATTTTTATCCTGTTTACAAACAATTAAAGCTGATTTTGAAACTTTATCATTGGGTCAATGGGTCAGTTCAGAAAAAGTGACTTTCTTAGATGTCAGCCTCTAGAATTCTTTACATCAGTGAAATTTAGGGAGTATTTTGCTTGGACTAAGTGTGGTCTGTACTCCCATAGTTAGAATGAGTGCAGTGACCCTTTTTCATGTCACTGACATGAGAACTAATTGATTTATGTGTTCCCATTGCCTAATTAGAGGTAATTCAGGAAAAATTTTAAAAAGTAGAGTAGCTCCTGAACAATCTGAGCGTGGGATTAAGTCTTTCAAGTTCCTGAAAGGGCGCTAAGCCTGCCTAAATAATGGTCGTACTCTTCAAGAAGGAGCTAAGGACTGTAGCTTCTTCTGATTGAAAAAAGGAATAAAACTCTCAAAGACAAAGAGGTACCACATTTAAGGCAGAAAATTCTACTCTTAAACATTCTCTGAGAGTATTTGAACTATAAACATATGGGGTAACAAACAAAGAAACTCTCACATCTAATACCTCATTATTAGAGAGGACATAGAAGGGAGCTCTCAAACCTTGCCTTAAATCCCTAAAGGTAGTTTTGTTACGTGTTAAGAAGACATTAGAGGTTCCATGAGAAAGCTACCTATTTCAATTAACTAAGAAAGAAAATAAGATTCGAGGTGATGGATCCAGAAATACAGACATAGAATTTTCTCCAGAAATCCGTTTTGAACTTCAAAAGCTTATTACGTTTTTTAGTAGAGAGCAGTCCAAATATACTGTGAACAACATTGCCAAATTAGAGAAAGTAGATGTCTTGATTCTAGGCCAGCCAGTCACAAAAGTGTGGTGGCTCTTTACTCATATACACACTCTTCTTATTTTGTTTTCTCATTTTCTTTCTGTGATACCCCAATTAAGACAAATTTCTGTGGACATAGACTAATGCTTTTCCTAGCTTCTCCAAATTTACCTGCCCTATATATTATCCTTTTGGCACTTTATTCTGTGTTACTCGCTGTTACCAAGACAGCACATACTAGTGCCAATTAAGACAACTGGGCTCCATTCAGTTTTTCCTTCTCAAGTAATAAGTGTTTTATCTGGAGAGAAATTGGCTTTTAAATATCCCCAGGTTTATAAGTGTATAAATGTTTATTTTATTGGCAAGTTTTTCATAATAAAATAGTTTCTTAAGTTCATGTATTGCTAGGAATATATTGCAAAGTGCTTTCTCATTTTGCGATTAGTTCTGAACAGAAGACCTAAATTAGGCCATTCAGATGATGAAAAACACTTTATATCTTCAAATTCAATGTGGTTAAACCATTGACCTAAATTTTGGAATTTATACCATATCTGGAAATAGAAAGTAGGTACAATGGATTTTAGTTGTTTTATGGAAGTCTCTCATTTAATTTTATTCCTAATCTCTTCCTGTATGTCTTCAAGGAGTCGTATGCCCCCATGTCACAGCTGAGAAGGCTATATCTTTTCCTTCCCAGCTGCTGGTTCAGTCAATGTTGAAAGTGTCACAGGTCATCACTGTGGCAGGGAAGGCCAGGCATCCAGGCTGACTCTTGGCTGTGTGATTGTTTCTCAGTTTCCTGCTGCATAGCCCACTGAAGATTCCCTCAGATCCTTCCCATTCTTCTAGCCAGTTCAAACTTCACATCTATTGTGTGATCTGTCCCCACCACCATCCCCTCATACCTTTCAGGAGAATTCCTTCTACTTAAAATAACAAAAACTGTTTCTATCGCCTGCATGGAAAAACTGAGCTGGTATATAGAGAAGTTATGGTAAGAATGACAGTGAAGTAGACTGATAGGGAAGATACATGATGTAATTCCCATAAGTCACATTATGTGTCTAAGGTCAATGACTGTAGCTATGCCAAGAGAATTGGCCCTATAACCCTATATGCATATCAAATACTAGGTGATCAACTATGACTATCAATGTACTTTATCTTCTAACCAAATAAACTTTATCCCTAATATTCAAAAATAAATTTTATTTCCTTTTGGCTAGTGTTTATAAAAGTACTAGGAAAGGGATCAAGGAAAATAACTTCAATTCTTTGGATGGCATTTGATTACCACTCTAACATGTTAGCTAGGTCTTTTTATTATCAATATTTGTGAGAGAAATGTTACACTGACAGATTTATGGCTTAGGTTAAGAATATGCAAAATAGTCTATATGAATTTTAAAGCATAAAAGTATAATATAATAGTTATCAACATTACCCAAAAATTGTTTCTGTTATTTTAAAAAATTTTAACCTTTGAAGAGCATAAATGTAGAGCCAAAAAAATGGTGGTCATTAATGTAGTACAACCCTTCATTTTGATAATGAAAAAAACTGTGACCTACTCCCTGTGGGGTATTGTTCTGTAACGTATGGACAGAGTGTATGTTTTGTAATGTATGGAAACCTCACATTTTTATGTAATTGATGAATGATATCTATAAGAAGAGGATTGTTCTTTTTGGTTTTGGGATCTTTTTGGGCTCATACTCACTCATTTTAAGTGTTAATAAATATTTTTATTTATAAAAGAATTACAAAAGTATTTGTTTATAGTATTCTGAAAAGCCTGTATATTTAGGACTTTTGAGTTTGGTCTCCTACCCAGTAAAATCCATAATTCATTGGCATAAACTTGTAACATCTCTTTAAAGGATTTTAAGAAATTCCAGCACTATTATCTCAAATATGACAATTTACATGTGGCAAGTTAAATGGCACTACCATGCAGATAGGTCCATTATAAGAAATTTGAATGGAAAGTAACAAATTAGTGTTGATCAAAATATTGCTCCCAAGTAAGAATTACTGCTTTGAATTTCCTTATTTATTTTATAAAAAGCCTATCTAAATGTCACAATGACCTAAAGAAAATCTAACTTAAATCTCATAGTTTTTACTCAAAATATACAAAATAAACCATGTACTCCCTTCTCTCTGATCAAAACATTGTTCTTCATTGATTGAGAATTCATATAACTTAATTTTAATGCAGAAACATTTTATAGTGCGTCAAAGTGTTAATCCTGAAATAGATTCTACTTACCTCAGTAAGAGCATCATATCATCTTGCCTATTCTGATTACAGAAATCAAATTTTATTAAAATATTTATTATAAATAATATTCCTATGTATTCAGTTCTAATCTTGTCACAGATAAAATAATGGAGATCTAGTCTCCAGTTAGTTAATGACAAACTTGTTGCTCCAGGGTGCACAGGCTCACTGCTCTTTCCATTACATCATATCGCTGTGTTGTATCTCATAACTGGAGGCCTCTATGGAAGGCAGGTTGTGTGGAAAAATATTATAAGAACATTTTGTGACATAAATGAAATTCAGGAAGTCTCTACCACTCATAGAGAAGTTGCCAAAATGACAAGATTGTATTTTTGTTTGTGAAAAATTGGCTGGCTAGTGGTTTGAATTACTTTTTCTTTAAATTCAATTATTTTTCAATTTTAATTTTAAAATGTGAAGGGTCCAAAGGATATATTACATCATCAAATTGAACTGTTTCAAGATTATTCCAGTATCAATATATTTTTTTAAATACTTGGTTCCTAAAGTTGACCCCATAAGCTTTAAATTATTCTGAGAATATTCCCAGAATATACTCTTACTAATGGCTTACTATTAGTAATAGAATACTTTTCTAATGAGCACATTTAAACAGATCAAAATAAAATAAGCTGAATTTAGTATATAAGTCTCTCTCTCTTTTTTTTTTTTTTTTTTGCTTTATCCCTGTTTGGCTGAAAGTTGGAGAAAAGTAAAGTAAAACTTTCTAAGTGAAGGAAAAATGACTTGACAAATAAGAATACTGATTATTCAAACAGCATGCCAATCTTTCAAATGTATAGATAAGGATAAATTATGCAGTGTCCTGGGTAAAATTAGAGGTACAGTGGTGAATAGGACAAGATGCCTAGAATCACAATATTAAAAGTAAGTGAATAGTGAAGATAGACATATACAAAGAGAAGTACACTAAAATATAATTTGTTTGAATTATGAGATACATATGAAAAAACAGTAAATGTTAGGAAGGAAGGAGGAAGCTGAAGTAAAAAAAAATGTACAAATGGTGACTGCAAATGAAACTAACCCAATTGTCCCATAGAACTGATGTTTATGGTTTATTTTGAGTAAATGTAGGAATTGGCCTTCTGAGTCTTGAAACATGAGAAAGTTACATTTGTCTTACCTGTGTTCCTTTCTCAGGAAACCAACTATCAGGCCTCTCAGATATTATCAAGGAAATGAAACTTACCAGATCACTGCATCTGGACAATTAGAGGTCAGAACACTCACCCATAATGATTGCCTAAGCAACCAACTACTTCCTGCTGTACAACTCCTCTTCCTTGCTCCTCCCTAATCCTGTTTTCCTGCACATACTTACATTTCTTCCCTGCTATATAAACTCCTAATGTTAGTCAGTGAGGGAGGGATTTGGGACTTCCATCTCCTCAGCTGCAGCACCCCATTAAAGCCTTCTTCCCTGGCAATACTCATTGTCTCAGTGATTGGTTTTTTGTGTGGCAAGCAGCAGGACCTAGACTGAACCCATGGCATTTCAGTAACACAGATATATTTTATGGAGATAAAAGACACTGTCACACATAAACATAGTATTAGGATCTTAGAGTTTAAAGAGACCTTTATTGTCTAAACTACAGTTCTACTCACTGCCATGATCCTATCTAGCCTAAGTTCTTTAGAATCTAAGGAACACTTGTAGAAACTCTACCATGGGGAATATAGTTATCTCAAGTCTCTGTCTAAAAATCTTGCAGTCTATTTTGATTGCTCTCTTTACTACCACCTCCAACACATAGCCAATCTTATTTTAATGTATACCCATTCATTTTAAAAAGTATTTGGGATGAACTGCATTGTTCAATTATCAACCTCAATCAATTATCCTTCTAATCCATTCTATGTACTGTTTCATGATTGAATTATTTGAAGTAAGGAGTCTAGTTTATGTTTAAAATTTGTTTACTACTAAGGTTTAATTATATCCAGTATTATCTGGACTGATTCAGTGATAAATCAGAATGATCAGAAAGGAGCAATGGTCTTGGTACAGCACATTCTTCATTACTTGATTTTGTTTTGTTCCAGCCTTCCATGGTCTCTTGTTTCAGGCCTGAAAAAAATAAATAGTTCATGGAAACAGTAGAAATATTTGCATAAAACTTGGTGCTTAACACTCATTAATTCTTAAGTTTTGTTTCACATTCGATTTATTAAGGCTAACCTAATAAATAAGTTGTAAGTTTTCTTATTATACAGTAAGCTAAGTACAGCTAATAAGGAAGACTTAGAAATTTAATTTTTCTTAGAAGATTAAATATTGGTTACAAACTTAATTCAATACATCTCAATTTAAATGACAATTCTTTATTTATATGACTGATTTATTTAAACATGTCACACACACAAAATAAAGCATAAACATACAGAGAAAATATATATTATCATACTTATACTAGAATTTTTAATAGTAGTGGCACAATTGGCTGATTGTACTCCTTTATTTGATTTGGATTTGTTTTATATTTTATTAGAGCTATAATAATTTTTGTTTTCACCAGCCAATACTCTTATCAGACTGAAAATAAAATAGAATATTTTCATGGTCAGCAATAGGTTAAAAAGTTTGAATTTTTGACCATCACTTATTGGTCAGGTCATTTTAATTCATTGCATCTTGTGAAATGATTGAAACTAGAACTGTTGATCCCCAAGCTAATGCTATTTTTCTTAACAAAAATAATTGTTATATTTATGAATTTTTAAGATCACATTTTTTATATTTTCATATGGGAGCTAAGTGACAGGGGAAGAATTTTAGGAAGTCAGAGGGTCAAAAACATATGGAGGGTTTCTGGTAAAGGAGTGATATAATCTGATCTCTGTTTTAAGAAACTTATCCTGGCTGATGAGTGGAGAAGCAAGAGATCTCAGAATTACTTCACTTAGAAAAGAGTAAGAGTTCTTAGCAGAAGGCCAATAGGAATGATAGGCTGAAACCACATGCACCCTACACAGAGTGAGTTGGAAGAAGATTTTTCAGGATTTCTCTTTTAGAAAAAGAGAATAGAAAGATACAAGGTTGAGAAAGATAAAGGACAATTTGGGGGAAAATGGTGGTGAGCTAGGACAGAAGTTTACTGTAATTATGCATGGAATCTTCTTTTGACATTCTTTGAGAATTTTCTATAAAGAGTTAAACTGTTTTTTAAATAAAAACTATTTAAAGTTTTTATTTTATTTAGCTTTCTTGCTGGTGGTCTTTAATGAGACTCCTGCCAATTCAAGCTACATGCATTTTGAAACCTTTGGTACATAACTGGCATGAGATTGAATGTTTTATTCCTAAATAAATATTTTGTAAGATAATTTTAGATTGGTAGAAATAAGTTCTGTTTTCACTTTCATAATATAAACAGAATTCTTAACATTTACACCGTGTTATTTTCTGTGACTCAATTGTTTGTAATAGACCAGGTAGTGAATATTTAGACATTTTTTTGCTACTGAAGTAAATAGATAATAAAATATTTTAATGATAAATTTGTTTGAAGTTTTGTTTTAAATTTTACTGTGACAGCATCAACTGGCAAGATAAAAGAGCACGAAATCCATTCCGTGTTAATCAACTGACCAAAGAACGTTTTCAAAAGAGTTATGTCACTATAAAAG
Source organism: Homo sapiens (assembly GCF_000001405.40). NCBI lineage: Eukaryota > Metazoa > Chordata > Mammalia > Primates > Hominidae > Homo > Homo sapiens. Next base: position 187,957,622 of record NC_000002.12, on the reverse strand, counting down.
CTGTGAAAGAAAAAAATAGAATAATTTTAAGTTTATAGTATGCACACTACCAAATTATTTGAGGAATATATTACATTTGTTAGAAAAGAAACTTCTAACACATCAAAGCATGGGAAAACCTTTCTAATTTCTGTTGCTCTGTTTTCATTCTCTCCTTTAATGAAATTCCATTTACCAGAAGTAAGCTCTGTCAACAACAATGTAGTATGACTCCTTTAAGTGGCATAGGCAGGTATGCTTATGTAGTTACATTTTACATAACTTGGGCCACACTGTGTAGTGGTCTGTGACAGGCTCTTTTAACAGCTCTTTCAGGTTTTCCACATTAGCTAGTGGCACAGATATGACCATACATGGGTGCAGGACTAGACTGCTTCTCATTTCTTAACAATTGCAAATATTTGGAGTTTGTATTTCTAGTTAGTTATTTATTTGGGATTTTAAAGTATGAGGCGAAGTAGGAACCTAACTTTATTTGGCTTAAAAAATAGCCAACTTGACAAATACTATTTTTGAATAGTCCATAATTTGCAGTGTCATGATTTGTTATGATTTGAAATGTCATTTTAAAATATAATATTGATATGATTTGGATATGTGTCCCCACTCAAATCTTATGTTGAAGTGTAAACCCCAGTGTTGGAGGAGGGGCCTGGTGGGAGGTGATTGGATCATGGGGATGGATTTTCCCTTTGCTGTTCTCATTATAGTGAGCGAGTTCTCATGAGATCTGGTTGTTTAAAAGTTTGTAGCACCTTCCTCTTTACTCTCTTCCGCTTGCTCCGGTCATTTAAAACACGCCTGCCTCACCTTGCACCATAATTGTAAGTTTCCTGAGTTCTCCCAGAAGCAGAAGCCTGTACAGCCTGCAGAACCATGAGGTGATTAAGCCTCTTTTCTTTATATTACCCAGTCTCAGGTAGTTCTTTATAGCAGTGTGAGAATGAACTAATACAAATATATTCCAGTATATACATGGGTCTGTTTCTCTATATGCCATTTGATCAACTTACTCATTTTTACACAAAAAGCAAATAATACCTTTTCAAGATTGTTGCTATGGCTGATATCTTAGAAAGAAAAGATCTGTTCATTGGTATATTTTAAAATATTTCCTTGTTTATTCTTACTTATTCCTCCATATAAATCATAGGCTATACTTGTTCGTTAAAATAAAATCCCATTAGTAATTGTATCAGAATCATAATTTATTTACAGATTAAATTGAGGAAGATAAAGTTCTGTACAGCATGCATCATCCTACTAAAGCACATGATGGCCCACACTTACTCAGTTCTCTTTTTTTAATTACTGTTAGGTTTATTGTGAAAGTAATATATCAATATATTAATACATATTTTATTATATATTATATGGTTAATATAATACATATTGTGGAAAAATTTAAATAATATGTGTATAGAGAGCAAGAGAGAAACAGATAATGTTGAATTTCAACTTTTTAACTTTTTTAGGTTTAATGTTTTTATTTTTATTTTTAAATTTATTATCTATTTTTTATTATATTTATTTACTTCAAGTACTGGGATACATGTGCAGAATGTGCAGGTTTGTTACATAGGTATACATGTTCCATGGTGGTTTGCTGCACCCATTAACCCATCATCTACATTAGGTATTTCTCCCAGTGCTGTCCCTCCCCTTGTCCCCTACTCTGCTGACTAGCTGTGGTGTGTGATGTTCCCCTCCCTGTGCCCATATGTTCTCATTGTTTAACTCCCACTTATGGGTGAAAACATGTGGTATTTGGTTTTCTATTCCTGTGTTAGTTTGCTGAGAATGATGGTTTCCAGCTTCATCCATGTTCCTGCAAAGGACACGAACTCATTCTTTTTTATGGCTGCATACTATTCTGTGGTGTATATATGCCACATTTTCTTTATCCATTCTAACATTGATGGGCATTTGGGTTGCTTCCAAGTCTTTGCTATTGTGAACAGTGCGGCAATAAACATACGTGTGCATGTGTCTTTATAGTAGAATGATGTATAATCCTTTGGGTATATAACAAGTAATCGGATTGCTGTGTCAAATGGTATTTCTAGTTCTAGATCCTTGAGGAATACACTGTCTTCTACAATGGTTGAACTAATTTACACTCTCACCAACATCGTAAAAGTGTTCCTATTTCTCCACATCCTCTCCAGTATCTGCTGTTTGCTGACTTTTTAAGCATCACCATTCTAACTGGTGTGAGATGGTATCTCATTGTGGTTTTAATTTGCATTTCACTAATGACCGGTGATGATGAGCTTTTTTTCATATGTTTGTTGGCTGCATAAATGTCTTCTTTTGAAAAGCATCTGTTCATATCATTCACCCACTTTATGATGGGGTTGTTGTTTTTTTCTGTAAATTTGTTTAAGTTCCTTATAGCTTCTGGATATTAGCCCTTTGTCAGACTGATAGATTGCAAAATTTTTCTCCCATTCTGTAGGTTGCCTGTTTACTGTGATGTTGTTTCCTTTTGCTATGCAGAAGCTCTTTAGTTTAATTAGATCCCATTCATCAATTTTGGCTTTTGCTGCAATTGCTTTTGGTGTTTTAGTCATGAAGTCTTTGCTCATGCCTACATCCTGAATGGTATTGCTTAGGTATTCTTCTAGGATTTTTAATGGTTTTAGGTCTTACATTTAAATCTTTAATCCATTTTGAGTTAATTTTTGTATAAGGTGTATGGAAGGGGTACAGTTTCAGTTTTCTGCATATGGCTAGCCAGTTTTCCCAACATTATTTATTAAATAGGGAATCGTTTCCCCATTGCTTTTGTCAGGTTTGTCAAAGATCAGATGGTTGTTGATGTGTGGTGTTATTTCTGAGGCCTCTGTTCTGTTCCATTGGTCTATATATCTGTTTTGGTAGCAGTACCTTACTGTTTTGGTTACTGTAGCCTTGTAGTATAATTTGAAGTCAGGTAGCGTGATGCTTGCTTCCAGCTTTGTTCTGCTTAGGATTGTCCTGGCTATACGGGCTGTTTTTTGATTCCATATAAAATTTAAAGTAGTTTTTACTAATTCTGTGAAGAAAGTCAATGGTAGCTTGATGGGAATAACATTGAATCTATAAATTGCTTTGGGCAGTATGGCCATTTTCACAATATTGATGCTTCCTGTCCATGAGCACAGAATGTTTTTCCATTTGTTTGTGTCCTCTTTTATTTCATTGAGCAGTGGTTTGTAGTTCTCCTTGAAGAGGTCCTTCACATCGCTTGTAAGTTGGATTCCTAGGTATTTTATTCTCTTTGAAGCAATTGTGAATGGGAGTTCATTCATGATTTGGCTCTCTGTTTGTCTGTTATTGTTGTATAGGAATGCTTGTGATTTTTGCACATTGATTTTGTATCCTGAGACTTTGACGAAGTTTTTTATCAGCTTAAGGAGATTTTGGGCTGAGACAATGGGGTTTTTTAAATATACAACCATGTCATCTGCAAACAGAGATCATTTGCCTTCCTCTCTTCCTATTTGAATACTCTTTATTTTCTTTTGCCTGATTGCCCTGGCCAGAAATTCCAATACTATGTTGAATAGGAGTGGTGAGAGAGGGCATCCTTGTCTTGTGCCGGTTTTCAAAGGGAATGCTTCCAGCTTTTGTCCATTCAGTATGATATTGGCTGTGGGTTTGTCATAAATAGGTCTTATTATTTTGAGATATGTTCCATCAATACCTAGTTTATTGAGTGTTTTTAGCATAAAGGGGTTTTGAATTTTATCAGAGGACTTTTGCATCTATTGAGATAATAATGTGTTTTTTGTCATTCTGTTTATGTGATGGATTATGTTTACTGATTTGCATATGTTGAACCAGCCTTGCATCCCAAAGATGCAAAGATGAAGCTGACTTGATTGTGGTGGATAAGCCTTTTTTTTTTTTTTTTTTTTTTTTTTTTTTGAGATGGAGTCTCCCTCTGTTGCCCAGGCTGGAGTGCAGTGGTGTGATCTCAGCTTACTGCAACCTCTGCCTCCCAGGTTCAAGCGATTCTCCTGCATCAGCTTCGTGAGTAGCTGAGATTACAGGTACATGCCACCACGCCCAGCTAATTTTTGTATTTTTTTAGTAGAGATGGGGTTTCATCATGTTGGTAAGACTGGTCTTGAACTCCTGACCTTGTGATTGTGGTGGATAAGCTTTTTAATGTGCTGCTGAATTCGGTTTGCCAGTATTTTATTGAGGAATTTTGCATTGATGTTCATCAGGGATATTGGCCTGAAATTTTCTTTTTTGTGTGTGTCTCTGCCAGGTTTTGGTATGAGGATGATGCTGGCCTCATAAAATGAGTTAGGGATGAGTCCCTCTTTTTCTATTGTTTGGAATAATTTCAGAAGGAATTGTACCACCTCCTTTTTGTAACTCTGGTAGATTTTGGTGGTGAATCCATCTGGTCCTGGGCTTTTTTTGGTAGGTAGGCTATTACTGCCTCAATTTCAGAACTTATTGGTCTATTCAGGGATTCGATTTCTTCCTGGTTTAGTCTTAGGAGGGTGTATGTGTCCAGGAATTTATCCATTTCTTCTAGATTTTCTAGTTTATTTGTGTAGAGTTGTTTATAGTATTGTGTCCGCAACTGGTGGGTTCTTGGTCTCACTGACTTCAAGAATGAAGCCGCGGGCCCTCATGGTGAGTGTTACAGTTCTTAAAGATGGTGTGTCCAGAGTTTGTTCCTTCTGATGTTTGGACGTGTTCAGAGTTTCTTCCTTCTGGTGGGTTCGTGGTCTCGATGGCCTCAAGAGGGAAGCTGCAGACCTTTGCGGTGAGTGTTACAGCTTGTAAAGGCAGTGTGGACCCAAAGAGTGAGCAGCAGCAAGATTTATTGCAAAAAATGAAAGAACAAAACTTCCACAATGTGGAAGGGGACCCGAGCGGGTTGCCACTGCTGGCTCGGGCAGCCTGCTTTTATTCCCTCTTCTGGCCCCACCCACATCCTGCTGATTGGCCCATTTTACAGAGAGCTGATTGGTCCATTTTACAGAGAGCTGATTGGTCCATTTTGACAGGGTGCTGAATGGTGCATTTACAATCCCTGAGCTAGACACAGAGTGCTGATTGGTGTATTTACAATCCTCTAACTAGACTTAAAAGTTCTCTAAGTCCCCACTAGATTAACTAGACACAGAGCACTGATTGGTGCATTTACAAACCTTGAACTAGACACAGGGTGCTGATTGGTGCATTTACAAACCTTGAGCTAGACACAGAGTGCTGATTGGTGTGTTAACAAACGTTGAGCTAGACACAGAGTGCTGATTGGTGTATTTACAATCCTTTAGCTCGACATAAAAGTTCTCCAAGTCCCCGCTAGATTAGCTAGACACAGAGCACTGATTGGTGCATTTACAAACATTGAGCTAGACACAGAGTGCTGATTGGTGTATTTACAATCCTTTAGCTAGACATAAAGGTTCTCCAAGTCCCCACCCAACTCAGGAGCCCAGCTGGCTTTGCCTAGTGGGTCCCGCGCCAGGGCCACGGGTGGAGCTGCCTGCCAGTCCCTTGCTGTGCACCTGCACTCCTCGGCCCTTGGGCGGTCGATGGGACTGGGTGCCACAGAACAGGGGGTGGCACCCGTCGGGAAGGCTTGGGCTGCATGGGAGTCCATGGGGGGGAAGGGGAGGCTCGGGCATGGCGGGCTGCAGGTCCTGAGCCCTGCCCCACAGGGAGGCGGCTGAGGCCCGGGGAGAATTCGAGCATGGCGCGGGCGGGGCAGCAGTGCTGGGGGACCCAGCACACCCTCCACAGCTGCTGGCCCAGGTGCTAAGCCCCTCACTGCCAGGGGCCGGTAGCACCGGCCGGTGGTTCCAAGTGCAGGGCCTGCTGAGCCTGCGCCCACCTGGAACTCGCACTGGCCTGCGAGCACCGCGCGCAGCCCCAGTTCCCACCTGTGCCTCTCCCTCCACACCTCCCCACAAGCAGAGGGACCTGGCTCCAGCCTTGGCTAGCCCAGAGAGGGGCCCCCACAGCTCAGTGGCGGGCTGAAGGGCTCCTTGAGCATGGCCAGAGTGGACGCTGAGGCCGAGGAGGTGCCGAGAGCGAGCGAGGGCTGCTAGCACGTTGTCACCTCTCAGTATTATCTGATGGTAATTTGTATTTCTGTGTGATCAGTGGTGATCTCCCCTTTATCATTGTTTATTGTGTCTATTTGATTCTTTATTTTCTTCTTTGTTAGTCTGTCTAGAGGTGTATCTATTTTGTTAATCTTTTGAAAAAAAAAAACAGCTCCTGGATTCATTGAATTTTTGAAGGGGTTTTCGTGTCGTATCACCTTCAGTTCTACTCTGATCTTAGTTATTTCTTGGCTTCTGCTAGCTTTTGAATTTGTTTGCTCTTGCTTCTCTAGTTCTTTTAATTGTAATGTTAGAGTGTCAATTTTAGATCTTTCCTGTTTTCTCCTGTGGGCATTTAGTGCTATAAATTTCCCTCTAAATACTGCTTTAGCTGTGTCCCAGAGATTCTGGTACATTGTGTCTTTGTTCTCATTGGTTTCAAAGAACTTATTTATTTCTGCCTTAATTTTGTTATTTTCCCAGTAGTCATTCAGGAGCAGGTTGTTCAGTTTCCATGTAGTTGTGTGGTTTTGAGTGAGTTTCTTAATCCTAAGTTCTAATTTGATTGCTCTGTTGTATGAGAGGCTATTTGTAATGATTTCCATTCTTTAGATTTGTTGAGGAGTGTTTTACTTCCAATTGTGTGGTCGATTTTAGAATAAATGCTATGTGGTGCTGAGAAGAATATATATTATGTTGATCTGGGGTGGAGAGTTCTGTAGATGTCTATTAGGTCTGCTTGTTCCAAGCTGAGTTCAAGTCCTGAATATTCTTTTAATTTTCTGTCTCATTGATCTGTCTAATATTGATAGTGGGGTGTTAAAGTCTCCCACTATTATTGTGTGGGAGTCTAAGTCTCTTTGTAGGTCTCTAAGAACTTGCTTTATGAATCTGGGTGCTCCTGTATTGGGTGCATATATATTTAAGATAGTTAGCTCTTCTTGTTGCATTGATCCCTTTACCATTATGTAATGCCCTTCTTTGTCTTTTTTTTTTTATCTTTGTTGGTTTAAATTCTGTTTTATCAGAGACTAGGATTGCAACCTCTGCTCTTTTTTTGCTTTCCATTTGCTTGGTAAATCTTCCTCCCTCCCTTTATTTTGAGCCTATGTGAGTCTTTGCATGTGAGATGGGTCTCCTGAATACAGCACACTGATGGGTCTTGACTCTTTATTCAATTTGCCAGTCTGTGCCTTTTAATTGGGGCATTTAGCCCATTTACATTTAAGGTTAATATTATTATTTGTGAATTTGATCAGTCATTATGAAAGTCCACACAGTTGCGTTATGAGAGGAGCCTGAATTCTGCTGAGATGTAGGCATAGTAAAATGATAACCAGCTATTGTTCTGGAGGTCACAAGATTTGTAACTTCCCCAATATACCTGTGGCTAAAACATCCCTATTATATAACCTGTGATTGGCCTTTTGAGATGTCTTTTCAGACTTTAACATTTCTGATAACCAGCTCTACCTCAACCTGCAACTTGTGACTCAACCGGTCCTGTGGCCCGCACCTGGAGGCTGACTCAGGGTACAAGGATCATTATTCATACACCTATGATTTCATCCCTAATCAATCAATCAACGTTCTCCATTCCCTAGCCCCCTTCCCACCAAATAATCCTTGAAAAACCCTAATTTCTAAGCCTCTGGGGAAACTGATTTGCCTAATAACTGCATTAGTTTTAGAAAGTCAGTTTAGTTTTGGGGAGGGCTATTATCATCCTTGCTTTAATGTTAAATTATAAACTAAATTCTTCCCACAGTAGCTTGGCCTACCCCCAGGATTGACCAAGGATAGCTTAGAGGTTAGAAGCAAGATGGAGTCAACTACATCAGATTTCTCTTATTGTCAATTTTGCAAAGGTGGTGTCAGCTGTTAGAAATCTTCTTATTCTTTTCTTCATTTTTAACACTTTGCATTTGTTTACACATGATATTGCAATCAAACAATCATATTGTCTGGAAAAGATAATGTTTTACCTCCTCCTATTTTTTTTTCTCCTAAGTCATTTCATTGGCTAGCACTGTAAAAACTATTAGTATTTATTTGAATGGTGACAGCATACATCCGTTTCAATTCTACTTGTTAATCTTTTAAATTCTCTTTTAAAAATTGTTAATATATCATACAACTAGAGAGATATTTGCGAAATCAAAGAGAAATAGCAGTTTGTTAAATAAATATGATGTACAGTTTATTTTGCTTATTCAAATCCAGATTTTCCCACCTACTAATTGGGATCACTTGGTCACATAAGTTATAAAGGGGGGTAATTGTAGCTTCGTGAGAGATGAAGTAGCTTGCCCAAAGGGGACTCAGTGACAAAATATTAAAGCTTGATTTAAACCCTGGCTCTAATTATTGTGCTATGATAAAGGAGCTCTTTAGCACATTGGTGCTGTATTACTATTGCATGTATTTAAATTTAATATAATTACAAAATAGAGTTTATATCTTCGAAGGAAAAAGCTTTGATCAATTTGATAATGATTTATTGTTTTTGTTGTTACATCAATCTTTTGTTCATATTAATAGGTTAGAGATAAATTTTTAGTATTTTTTAATGCAGAGATATATTTGACATTTATTTGCCTTTCTTTATGTAAACATTATTGCTATCAGAGCTAAGGATACTCTGAAAGTAATATTGCTAATGAAACCTTGTTGTTTCTTTGCTTTTTTAAACATTTTATTTTGTTTTAGATTCGGGAGGTCAATGTGCATGTTTATTACATAGGTATGTTGCCTACTGGTGGAGGTTGGGCTTCTAGTATACCTATTATCAAAATAGTGAACATTGTACCCCATTGGTAATTTTTACATACTGTTAATTGGTATATTATTTTTCTAGGGCTGCCATACAAATTGCTACAAACTCAGTGGTTTAAAACAACAGACATTTACTCTCTCACAGGTCTGGAGGCCAGAGTCTAAAATCAAGGTGTCAGTGGGACCACATCGTCTGAACGTTCAAAGGGAGAATGCTTGTAGTGCATGGCAGGAGAGCCCCAAATCGGAGCTTTACCCTGTAAGGGTTCTTGATTTTGCCCAGGAAAGAATTCAAGGGCAAGCCAGAGGTAGAAGAAAACAGACTTATTGAAGAGGCAGTGTTACAGCTCTGGAGATGTTAGAGCTCCATGACTGCTTCTGCAGAGCAGGGCTGCCTCATAGGGAGAAAATAGCAGCTTAGGGCAGTTTTGCAGTCATATTTGCACACACCCCTGCACCCTTTTTTTTTTTTTTTTTGAGACGGAGTCTCTGTTGCTCAGGCTGGTGCGCAGTGGCGTGATCTTGGCTCACTGCAACCTCCGCCTCCCAGGTTCAAGCCATTCTCCTGCCTCAGCCTCCTGAGTAGCTGGGATTACAGGCATGTGCCACCATGCTTGGCTAATTTTTGTATTTTTAGTATTTTGTATTTTTGTATTTTTATATTTTAGTAGAGGTTTCACCATGTTGGCCAGGCTGCTCTCAAGCTTCTGACCTCAAGTGATCTGCCCGCCTTGGCCTCCCAAATTTCCGGGATTATAGGCGTGAGCCAACGCGCCCGGCCTATACCCACTTTTAATTGCATGCAGATTCAGGGGTGGTTCATGCAGACATTTCTAGGCAAGGGATAGTATCATTGGGTCATTGCCATGGAAAGGGTCAGGGCAGTAACTCCCAGGTGTTGCCATGGCAACAGTAAATTGACATAGCACACTGGTGGGCTTTTCTGATTGAAAGCTGCTTCTGTGCTGGCCCTGTTTTAGCTAGTCCTCAATCTGGTTCAGTGTCCAAGCCCCATCTCTGGAGTCCAGTCTGGCTTCCTACTTCACTTGCTAGTCTTTTCCAGCTTCTGGTGGCTCCAGGCTTTCTTGGCTTGTGGCAGCATAACTACAATCTTTCCCTCAGTTTCCCAGGCCCTTCTCTCCTTTGTGTCTCTATATCCTTTCCTGTGTCTTACAAGGATACTCTTATTGGCTTTATGGCCCAACCTGATTCAATATGATTTCATCAAGATTCTTACCTTAATAAAACCTTCACAGACCATATTTCCAAAATAGGTCACATGAGCTTCTAAATGGACATTAATTTTTTTGGGGGGAGGGTATTATTCAGATTACTACAATTGCTAGAATGAGCTAGGAAAAAGTAGAGCGTTAATAGGTCTATTTCGTCAAAGTAGTAACATTATAGATAATTTAATATTTATTTCTTTTAATCCTCAAAATTAATATTTCTGAAGGAAAAAGGAACTGAAAGTGGTAATGCCATTACCAAAGTTATGTGTTCCCTCTTCAATCATAACATACAAATAATAAGCAATCAGCCCACTGCCTCAGACATGATGTTCAAAAGAGTTAAATCCCTTTCCAAGTGAATACCTTATTCTCCATTTAAGCAGACATTCCTCTTGCATACCTGTAATTTGTCTTATGTTTGAGTAGCTAATGATCTTTTAAAGAAATTTAAACATGAAATTTCTCTGAGAATTACTCTGTGATCTCAAATCATTAACTTCTTATAACCCTGGTTTTCTCATTGTAAAATGGGGACAATAAAATTATCTCACAGGAGTATTTTGATGACCAAATGAGATAAAATATATGACACTTTATGGAAAGCACTATAAAATCATAGTGGATATGTCAGTATTCTCATCAGTAAATAAAATACAATTTGAAAAGTTCATTTATTTAACTTTTAATATTAAAAGGTAATCATTCAGTTTTCGTTTTTTTCCTGTTAACATGCTGTCGGATTTTCCATATCTTTCTGTGGCTTAGCAAATTGGTGATGTTATTTTTATTTCAGTTTAAATAATTAGAATGACTAATTTGCAGACTGGTAATGAGTAGGAAAAAAATTATACCTAATTAATTTACTATTGAAATTAATTTTTTGCTCTTGCTTATTTTTTCCTTCCTTGTATAGTAATATTACTTTTATATTATCCCCATTTTCCAAATAAGAGACTTGATGAAATTTCTCTTGGGCAACACATGATAATTATGCAAACATGTTGTTTGTCAAATTGAATTCCTCAAAAGGCACTAGAAAAATTGATGATTCCATGGCAAAGTTTGTGATACTCTTGAGTACATATATTGTGAAAGAAGACACATTTAGAACTTCACTCAAGAGGTATTTGAATCACATCACTTGGGAAACTGATACTCATCATTAATTAACTGGGTTAGACCTGAAGGGCTATTAAAGTAACAGATTCAGGGGTAACAAAGAGAGAGAGAGAGAGAAAGAGAGACATATGGGGAATCAGGAAGTAGGTACACTTGAAAACAAACAAAAAAAATAAGGCCATGGCAGGTCAGCACGCATGATAAAGAAAAGACTGTTTATATGTGTACCTGTACCTGTATTATATCTTCTCTCTCTCTCTAAATATATGTACAAACATACACACATACACACACACACACCACACATACCTATACAGATGCACATACATATTTATTTCTATATAGGCTCAGAATTACTATTCCGAGTTGTTAATACTCATTGCCAACAAATGCTGCCTCCATGGAACTATTTTGTTTTTATTGTGAGTAAAATCTCAGAGATACTAAAACATGAATGTGAAGAAATTGATACATGAGCAGGACAAAATTTTTTTTAAGGACAAAATTTAAATGTAAAATAAAATACATTTCCTCCACTAATCAGAAGGGGAATTAGAATTTTATGCTAATCTTTTAATACAAATAATTTATTGCAGCATGTATTAGGGTTCTTCAGAGAAGCAGAACCAATAGGAGATCTCAAATCAAGATGAAGATTTATTACAAGGAATTGGCTCTCATGATTATGGAGTCCCAAGATCTGCAGTCAAGTCCCAAGATCTGCAGTCAGCAAATTAGAGACCCAGGAGAGTCATTGTATAGTTCGCGTCTACACATTGAAGGCCTGAGAGCCAGGGGAGCTGCTAGCATAGTTCCAGTCCAAAAGCTGGCAGGCTCAACACCCAAGAGGAGCTCATGTTTCAGTTCAAGTCCAAGGGCAGGGAAAGATTGATCCCCAGTTTAAGGCAGTCAGGGAATAGGAGTTCCCTCTTATTCTCAGAAGGTCAGTTTTCTTTCCCATTCAGGGCTTCAACTGATTGGATGAGTCCCCCACCCCCGCCATCTTAGCTCAATCTGCTTTACTCAGTCTACTGATTCAAATGTTCATCTTGTTGAGAAACACCCTCACAGACACACTGAGAATAATGTTTAACCAAATGTATGCATACCCTCCGGCCTAGTATAGTTGACAGCTAAAATTAACCATCCTGGAACACTAAGCTTTTCTATTGCCCATATTGATGCCTCAGAGATATTTATTTTAAAAAGATAGTATGGTACATGGATATTAGAGAATAGAGGTTTTGGTTGGATTTGAGCAAGTGGGGAGAGGATGGCTACTTGGGAGAACAAAGGAAACCTGAGTTTCAAGCAGAATTCCAAGTCAAACATTTGATAGGTAGTGGGCTGATGGGGGAAGCAAGAAGGGCAAAGGAAACCCTATGTCTATTCTGCAGTTTTGTACTTCCTTACTCTCCACTTTAGTATTCAAAAGATTTTATTAGCCACCTGACTTATGAAGGCATTGTACTAAAGAGAGATATCCTTAGGAACCTTCCAAATTCAGTAAAGAAACTCTGACATGCTTATGATCACAATACCAGGTAGAAGATAATATCTGCCATTAAAATGTTTTATTTCATTTGCTGATTTTAGAGGTGAGCAAGATGAGCTTTGCCTGTCAGAAAATTGGAAGGATTCAAGCATCCAAATCCAGTTATTTGAACTGGATTATCAAGAATAGACAGAATTGGCTGGGCGCAGTGGCTTACGCCTGTAATCCGAGCACTTTGGGAGGCTGAGGCGGGCGGATCACCACGTCAGGAGATTGAGACCATCCTGGCTAACACGGTGAAACCCCATCTTCACTAAAAAAACACACACACAAAATTAGCCAGGTGTGGTGGCGGGCAATTGTAGTCCCAGCTACTTGGGAGGCTGAGGCGGGAGACTGGCGTGAACCCGGCAGGCAGAGCTTGCAGTGAGCCGAGATCGTGCCACTGCACTCCAGCCAGGGCAACAGAGCGAGACTCCATCTCAAAAAAAAAAAAAAAAAAGACAGAATTTGGGCCCTGAAAACATATGAGACAAAGATTGGGAAGAGAAAAACAAAAGAAGAGCAGCAAGGAAATGGTATACGGGAAGAAAGTAGCCTCTTTGGCTCTAATGTGTAAGCTAAGTGAAAGTAGAAAGCGGATACATGAGGCTAAAAATCTAGATCAAGAAATGATTGGAAAGACTTTGAATATTAAAATAGAGCAGTTTGGGTTTCATTCTATAGCACCCTGACAACCATTGAAAAGTTTTGGGCAGGAGAGCCATGTGTATATTAGGGAATTTACCCTATGCAAGTTAGGTTGTGATAAATTAGCATATGGAAGTCGAAGAAAAAGTTAAAATTCAAATTTAGTAGCTATTTGCAGATTTGGAAAAAATAAGGCATAGATTCACTTCATCATTTGTCAAGTTACCAGCTGAGAAAAGTGGTATTAGAGACTGATTTTGAAACTTGTGAGAAGGAGCTGAAGTTTCAGCAAGAAACGCAGCCACTGTATACAAGCTCAGGTCTTTTGTAGGGCGAGAGTAATAGTAACAAATACTTCAATAGCACTTTAGCCATGTGTCTAAATATATTCACTTATTTAATTTCTATTACAACTCTATGAAATGAGTAGTACTGCTTACTCCGTATTACTGATAAGAAAATAAAGGCAAAAAAAGAAATTTTCTTAAAGTCATGCTGTAAGTCAGTCATGTAATACGTCTGTGACTGTGACACAGGAAATCTAGATCTAGAGTTTCTGTCCTAAACCTCTCTCCGTAGTTGCCTCTCTATAGCTTTGTTTCAGATATGTTTACAAAATTTGGATAGGCCTTTGGATGTGTGTTAAATGTACAAATTTATTTAGAGGTAATGGGATATTAAAATAAAGGTAATTAAAGTGTGGCTACATACAACACACATACAACATATGTAACTGTATACTGATGTGTTTACATTGAAATCAAGGATTCTTAGACTCTGGGTAGAGGATGGTCAAAAACATTTGATAATCCAGTCATGGTGCTTATTCAATAGGTCATGAATAAAGTGGCAGTGATTTTTTTTAAGCCATGAAAAGAAACCTAAATCCTCAGTGTAATCTTTGGAGGGGTTGGCAGGGAGAGGGGGTGGATTATGAACTTTACTGAAGTTTCCCTCTATTTCTAAATATTTATCTTTCTCTTCAATATTCTCATTAGCTTAAATATTCTCTCACTGCCTTGCTTCTGTAGAGGACTGTGCACAGCTGCTAGGGATGCTGGCATTGAAGCACTAAGAGAACAGTCCACATCTGGGATGGCCTTGGTTTAAGCAAGAATCCTGTCTAACATCATGTTCCCTTCCCAGGGTAGCCAGCATCCAATTACTGCTCAACTAGTACTAGAAAGGCCTGGCCTTATCACCCCAACTCAGGACAACTCAGATGGCTCATTCCAGTTTCAGAATTCCCAAGAGGGTTGGCTGAGTCTTCTGTTGCAACTCTTTTGCAACTCAGATTTTCCCTATGCCCAGTCATGCTTCCTTTTTTTCCCTTCCATAGGTATTGATCCCCAGAGCACTCCTTAATAAACCTATAGTGAACTAATTTCATTCTCAAGGTCAGCTTTTTGTAGAACGCATCCTGAGATGAGACAACTTCCTAGAAAGTTCCACAATAGGTTACAGATCCACTGTCTATACCTTTCTTTCACTCAGCTCCTCTCACCTTCACTATAGTTCCTATTGTGTTTTTTTCTTGGACAGCTCCTTGTTTTTCTTACATAAATCAACTTTCCTTTTCTTGGCTGTGTACTGTTCTTTCTCTCCTTTCTTCCTAATCAGCATAAAAAAGGATCAAAATCTCTCTCTCTTTCTCTCTCTCTCTCTCTCTGTCTCTCTTTCTCTGTGTGTGTGTCTCTCTCTCTCTGTCTCACCTTTGAAGGTATGGGAAGGGGACAGATTGTGAATACTTATATTTTACTATTTTGTTCTTATCCTCTTATCTTACCCTTATGGACAATTACCGTGTACCAGAACTAAATCCTTCCAAGAACAATTAGGTGGACTATGTTATTGTTCATCCATTATGGATGAGGGAATGTATGTTTAACATAATTTAAACAAATTGCTTGGGATTCAACAGCTAGTGTTTTGTTGAGGGAAAGTCACTTCTTCTGGATTCCAGAGCAGCAAACCCTATCATTATGCTACAAGGTAAGCTTGGATACCCTCAGTTTTGTCTTGGTCTGAGCTTGCACATGCCATTTTCAATGTCTGCCTGTTATCCAGTTAGCAGTGTATCCTTTAATGGCCTGCTTCCATGAGGACACCCGTCCCTTTCTCAAATATCTTTTCCAAAGAAGGCGGGAACTAAAAGGAGGTAGGGAGAACTAAAAGGTAAAGGAGGGAACTAAAAGGAGTTTTCAAAGTTTTCTGAGAAATTGAGTTTGTATGTATCTTTGGTGTGTGTGTTATCAATATGTAGTGGATCTAAAACTATTTAATAGCAACATCTAAGCAAGGCCTTCCTGGTTGGCGAGTGAATACATTTACACTGGTAGCTCAGATGGATACTATTTGAAAATGAAAGATTTGGTCAATTATATAGCAGAAACTGTTGAGTAATGTGGGAAGTTTTATGGGCAACACACAGCATGTAAGTGTATTTTTCCACATCAAAGCCAGAAAGGTCTGTAAATGCCTGTTTTTCCAAAGTGTAACTATAGGAGATATTTTGTAATGAGTATTTTGTAGACAACGTGCATTGGCTTTGTTTGCCAAGGAGCATACTAAATAGTATCTCTAAAAATTCTCTCACTGTGAAGCGTGTACAGTATTCCCTATGTACAGGGAAAGCACACCACACCACCAAACACAAACACACACACATTCTATTAATTAAACCTTTGTATTTGAGTCAGAAAGTCTCTTACCTTTTAAAGATGATTTGTGAATTACTGAACACAATGATATTAAAAATTCTATGCTTAGGGTATCCAGACAAACACAAAGATAAAATATTAATACATGGATAAACATGTATATGGAAAAAAAAAACAGAGCCATGATGACAAAAGAAAATGTAAATTTAGTGCAAGGACAGAAGCGCTATGAAAGTCAGTTTTCATTATATCACAATTATAGTGGTCTCTTTCATAAGCTTTTTTAACATAATAGTACTTAGATCATTCTTTAGAAGAAACTTTTCTTCATGTTTTAACTTTTTTACAAAAAAAAATGAGTTAGAAAGTTGACCTTAGGTTTTGGTGTGAAATAAATATATTGTATCATCAAAATTAACCATGCCAGGAGGATGTAGCTGACTCTACAATTACCATCTTGGTCCTTAGCATTTTACATCTTGGTCCTTAGTAAGCAGCCTTCCTTAGGGACATAGCACAGACAAGGACTGTTTCTGTTTAGTTGAATTATCCCTGAACTCTATTTAAGGCGGCATCAAATATTCCTAAAATTTGTAGCCTCTCTTACCTCAGTTACCTGGAGACTTAAAGATATTAATGCTACTTTTTTTGATCCTTGGATTGCTCTTTAAACTTATTTTTCATGGGTCCTTTTCAAAAAGAGAGCAATTATTTAATGTTCCATTGTGCAATAGGGCTTTTTATTTGTTGCATGTTTTTTTTCTTGTGATAATGATATCCTGCAGTGTTTCAAAAACTGGGATTTATAGATTGTGGGAAATTCACAGGTGTTTTCTCCAGGGGGTCTACATGTCTTGAATGTTAAGAAACATATGTTGTACTGCATGGGCCAAAAATTTGAAAAGTTGGTCATACTTTCATTTTGATAATCTGTTTAACATCCCTATGGTGTCCATTTTAATTAAATCTTACATGGAAATACTATACTATATAGAACTGTATTCAATAAGTAAAAGAAAATATATATTATTGAATCTATTCTTTGTCATTTGCAGCCCTGTCTCTTTGATGCAAGTTTTGAAATGACAAGAGAGTTTTCTAACAGTGGTATAAAATGAGATTATTATAATGGTCAATTAAAATGAGAAATGATAGAACATGTTAAATCATATAGAAATATTTGGTATTATTCCTTGAAATTGCAAACAGATTATTATACATGTATATGTATGTATAATGCAAATATGAACATATATAATATATTAACATTATATACAAATATTTAATATTTGTTAATATTTAATAAATATAAATAATATTTAAGATATATTTACATATGTATAGAAAGAGATAGAAAGAGAGAGAGATACAGAAAGATACCTAATTATTTGATCTGTCATTCATTCTACCAGGTTTACATCTGCTTGTGACTGAGAAAGTGTTTTTCCTGGATGGAAAAACTGTAAATTATTAACAGTAATTAAGATAAATTATAATAATTTTAGTTTTGCATTTTTACAAGGCAGACATTAGACATTGGAGAATAACTGTGGGTAGAAGTCCAGGAGTCACATTTTCTGTAACCAGTGAGCACATGACACTGCGAAGGGAACACTTTTCTAATATCCCCCATAAAAAAGAATTCACAGTAAGATACACGCATGTTAAGTGCCATCTAAAGGGACTTAATTACTGAAACACTAAAAGGCCAGGAAAATGATGCATTCACAATTCACTGTATAGCAAGAGATAAATTTAAGTTGTACTGAGAAAAAAATTTTTTACTTGGATGGTTCTTCAAAAAATTATCATCACTTTGAGAAGAGGTATTGAGCCAGTGCCAGAAGCTGAATATGGTCACTCTTGTAGGATTTTGTTATTTTTGGATATAAGGGTGTTTTTATTTCTAAAACATTAAAAACATTTTAGTTTCTTTTGTGGGAGAATGAAAAAATTATCTCAAAATTTGCAGTTTCTTCCATAAGATTTTGAGTCTACTTGCTTTAGCAAATGGAATGCTAGCAAAATAAGTGAAGGAGATGTTTGCCACATCTTTGATCATTATTGATGCTTTTGGAAACCAGCTGTCATTTGAAGAAGTTGAGATTAGCTGAGTATCTAGGGAACCATTATTCTGGCAGGTGACTGAGGCTGATTGTTTCAGGATGGCCTCACACACGTCTGGCTGTTCAAGTGGCAAACATCCATCATGAACAAACATTGGTCATGTGTGTGAGGCCATCCCAAAACAATCAGCCTTTAATTACCTGCCAGGCAACTGAAGCTGCACACATAAACTCAGAGCATACCAATGGAAGAACCACCCATCTGAGCCCAAAACAAACCAACAATCCACAGAATCATCATTTATTAAAGTAATTATTTATTCTACTAAATTTTGGAGTGGTTTATTACATAATAATGGATATGGCATACCCTCTCTATGTTGACACTAGTTCTCACTATTCCATTCCAGTTGTTCATACAACAGAACTTTTCATACATGTATATTATCTACCTGGCTACTGAAAGCACTTCAGTTCTGGGCCTCACTGAAAATCTATTCTTTGAAGAAAGAAGCATTGAATAAATATAATGTGTTCATATACCAGAAGTACAAATATGAATAAAACTTAGTAATCCCCCTCAAGGAACCACTGTCTAATGGGAAAGATAGTCATGTACACAGTTTGCATGGAGCCAGCATAGGATAACTAAGAGTATGATAAAGGCAATCATTCCAGATTACAAATGTCAGATTTTCATTTGTGATTTCAGCAGGCTGTTCCATCTTTTTTATGGTGCTCTGTAGTTTTTATATTCCAAGAATGCCAAGACACACATACATGTATTCACACAATTATTTTTAGAGACTTTGGATTTTTCTAGTTTAGATAGGAACCCCAGCCCCACTGGCATTCGTGCTAGTGATATCACTTTGTAGCCATATGATCTCTAGTGTAGTTAGCTTCCCTAAGTCAATGCCTGAATGATTGCTACTGTGCCCACTGCAATAACCACAACCATTCCCACAATGCTGTCCTCTATTGTGAAGTAGAGAAAAACTCCAGAGGAAATTCAATCAGGCCCCCAAATGAAGCACAA
The DNA here is from genome assembly GCF_000001405.40 of Homo sapiens. Taxonomy (NCBI): domain Eukaryota; kingdom Metazoa; phylum Chordata; class Mammalia; order Primates; family Hominidae; genus Homo; species Homo sapiens. The sequence goes on along the minus strand of NC_000002.12, from coordinate 187,938,484 downwards.
GAGAGCATTCTCTTTAATTTTCTTTTACAGGGCTGCCAAGGCCCAAATCTCTGGAAGTTCTAAGGAAATAAAGGTACACTCAGACCACCTGCTTCTGCTGATAACAGTGCAGAGTTGGTAGCCTGGTGGCATCAGCCACTGCTAGTTTGACAGTCATGCCAGGCAGGCAGGTGCAAGCTGCAGAAGACATAACTTGCCAGATATCACACTTACCTGTGTTGAAACACTGTAATTTTCACAGACCAAGTCATTGATTCTTTAAATTTTCTCATGCTTTACTAACAAACATTTGCCACAGTTTCCACTGTGTAATTCTCTTATCAATTTTTCCAGCCATGTTGGTTTCTTGTGCATAAGTGGACGTCTTTCTTTCCTTCTAGCTTTTAACAGTAAAATGGTTGTGTTACAGTTCATTTAAATCTCATTCTCTTATATCTATCTCTATGTCTGTCTTTATACCACACACACACACACACACACACACACACACACACACACACACACCTACCTCTATATATGGATAGTACCCAAGAAAAAATTTACTTTAGTTTTTTAACACATTACTTTTAATGAATATATTCCATTAAAAGATGGGTAAACATTAGCTCTCCATCTTCCTCTCAGAGCTAGGAAAAGATGACTTTTGATTCTTGGCTCTTTATTTAGTGATATAGATCCCTTCTGCCTGTTGAGTACACTCACAGCCCTTCCTATTCATTCCTTTACTGTTTCAATTGTGGTAGACCGTGGCCAGACCTGATTTATTTAGGCCTATCTAAGCCTTGCAATAGAAAACTCAACTAGCTGCATATGTCGACTAATTAACATTTTGCATAGCTACATACATATCACATAAGCTATGACATCCAGATGTTATATAAATTGTTGCCAATATACCAGTATGGCACTGGTAGTGTCACAAGAAATTAAACTCAGAACGTATAAGTAGATTCAAGTGATATGGCTTATTAAAGGTAGCTTGATAAATATGTAGGCAATTATATTAAAGTTTTGGAACATAAAAACCTTGCTGTAACCTATAAAGACCTCACCCCAAACAAAATACCATAACTACCATGGCCAATGTGAAGAAATTGGGGAGATCTCTTCTGATTTTTTTCTGGGATACTAGCATCAATTTTGGTAAAAGAAATCAGAAGTACAAAATATGAGTAAAGTGTTTTTGATGCTAAATTTAAAGAATTCAGCAGTGGAAGTGGATGCTATAGAAGCTTTAGTTGTTTTCTAAGATAATTGTATAATTAGTAGCAGTCTTTGTTAGGGGGTGCAGGGAGGGAAGGAGCCTATTCCAGATTACTGAGAGAAGGTTCGTATTCTTAATATTGCCCTGTGTTTATTTAACCAATCTATTTTTTTGACATTTGGAATGCTTCAGTTTTAAATTATTATACATAAAACTATTAAAACTATAGGAAACCTCTTACAGCATAAATCTTTGAGCCACATCTGATAATTTCCTTGAAATAAATTCATAGAAGTGGAATTACTGGGTCAAAAATAATGAGCTATTTCTAACTCTTTTAACATATTGCTATGTTTTTTAAATGATTATATGAGGTTGCCTGTTTTACAGCCTAATTGCCAACTTTGAATCTAATTGTTGGTAAGTGTTGTTTGCCTTTTTAAAATAAGAATACCATTTTCTGTTTTATAAATGTTTTATTTTCTTATTTGACTTCTAGCTGACTGAGGGCAGAAACCATGGTATGTGCTGTGCACAGTACTGTTTTTGTCTCCCTCAGCACTGAGCATGTAATGGGCTCAACAAATACTTTTCGAATAATATATTAATACCAATTACTTTTACTCATATATAGTAGGTAATTAACTGATTTAGATATCAGCTAATGAAGATTTGATATTTATCATTAGTTTATATATTAGGTTTTCAAGGAAGTTCAAGAAATTGTGAATATGTTTCTGTAGTGCTTAGGCCAACTGTTTCTCAAAGGAATTGTTAAGACAATGTTATTCCCTTCATTTGGTCGAGTTAGGGTTTCCATTTCCTTTAGTTTCAGTTCCTCAAATTACGTTCCTCAGACATGTTTACAATTTTAAAGGCACCTCTTTAGTCAATGGGGAATCTGAACACCTTATCCTTAGTGACACTAAAGACAAGTAATTGGCCATGTTAAGATGTGGTTGTTGGCTTAGCAGATTCTCATACCAGCTGTTATGTCTTGATAATTATTCCAAAAATGAATTTTAGTTTAGGTTAAAGAACATGGCACTCATTCAGGTTTAATTAAGTCTTTTTAGAAAAATATGCTGTGCCATTCAAACAGCCTGGTCTTATATTAAGAGTTATTTTAATCATTTACTGTACTTGTGGCCATATTGTCCTCATAACTACAAATATTTAAAAATAGTTGATGAAATAATTTCAGGTAATTTCTCACCCATTATTACTTTGATCAAGGTGATTTCATTTTTCAGTTTAAATTATTTTATATTTACAAACGCCATATGTTATAAACTTTTAATTTAGTTCTGTGGTGAAATGTGGGTGCATATGTGCATGTGGGTATACATACATATATGATAGGGGCAGGAGGCAGACAAATTCCTAGGTAGATTGGGGCGGGTCCCTGGTGAAACTGAACCTTCAAACCAAAGAACCTGAAGCCCGAAAACCACGCTCTCAGTTCCAGGTGAAATCCACCACCTGGAGTGAGATTTTTGCCTTTCCACCAATTAAATGGTGCTTTTTCCAGGCCCTCCCATTGATCAATCAGGATGCACTTCCTTCATTCTGAGTCCATAAACACCTGGGACTCAGCTACACATCAGGACTCCGCATCTGCAGGTGGGAGCCACCCACTTGGGTCTCCTCCCTACTAAGAGCTGTTTTGCTGCTTAATAAAACTCTTCTCCATCTTGCTCACTCTCCAGTTGTCCATTTAACCTCATTCTTCCCGGATGTGAGACAAGAAGTCAGGGCTCACTGAGTGGCAGGCACGGAAAGGGCTGTAACATGTTTTTGGCTGGCTTGCCAAGCTGTGAACTGTGACACACTCCTGTTTGCCAGACAGCAGGAGTGAAGAGTGGCAGCCCTTCTCAGGATTTCCTGAGCCAGAGCTGTAACACTATAGCCCCCCTGCCCACCGCTGGCATCGAGTGGCTTCCCCATGTGATGGGAAGTGGCAGCGGGGCCAGGCCAGCCTGGAAACTAAGCCGGAGCAAGGCAGCAGGACTGAATGAGCTGAAACATGCCACTCCACCCCCACTTGCTGAGCTGCTGGCAACAGGATTGAGAGAGTTGTAGCGTGCACCCCCCCACCCCTTGGAGCTCTGCAGTTGCTGACATCTCTGAGTTTTCAGGTGATGTCATGTTCCTCATCCACACTCCAGCACCTGCATTGGAAGCTGTTTATGGTATGCCTGGTTCAGCCACAGCCTCGCATGGAGCCAGCACCTGTGATGGCACCTGGAGCTGTCCACCCCACCACAGCAGCCAGCTCACTTGGCTATGCACAGTGGCTGGACAACACACTCACTTGCTCACACACCCTTCATCACTCCATGCCTGGCTTGCGCTCGGTGGGCATAGGATCCAAGTCAGTAGCATGAGCCAAGCACAGCCTGCTGAGCCAAGTGGGTGGAATGAGCCCAGTGGGTGTGAATGAAACTCAAGCAGAGGTGCCACCGGTCACAAAGGTTTCTGGCTGGCAAAGTGACACCTAAAGGATCCTGTGACATTTCTGGGGCCTCATCTGGGATCTGCAGAAGACTGAATAAAAGTGAACTTGCTGCTTTCTGTCCTTCTTTTCAGAGTCCCGAAAGTCCACAATAACCAGAATGAAAGAAAAACATCGGCCTCTGTTGGCCAGATAACACTGACTAGCGTGGCTGCTGGACTGAAGACAGGGAGGACAGGCTTGCCCAGGAGGACACTGTTAATCCCCCATCACTCTCAGGTGTTGGGAATGTTGGCTTTTTTCCAATCCAGTTTCCATTCACGGATGTCTAGCCATAGCGTCAGATTGGAGTAAGGTCCTGGGGCAACTGATGGCATCTAGCTGAGGCCACACGTTGGTGTTGCCTGAAAGCCCCAAGACCAGCTGCAGTCTCCAACAGCCCAGTAGGGTGTGAGCGCTAGGACTTGCATTCTTTCCTGTCACATTATCTTTCTTTCGTGGCTGTCATGGCTCCTATCTTTTTTTAATATACAATGTTAAGGGTGTTGTTGCAAACCAGAGAGATAGTATAGTCATCAGGAGTGTAATCCAGAACAGTGTGGTTTCTATCTATTCTTAGAAGCAAGAAGGATGTAATGATTGAAAGCTTTCTTTCCTCTCTTGAAGAAATTTATTAGCATGGGGCAAGAGGCTACTTCCCCCAGGCACCCCTCTGTCCCCTGAATTTAAGTTTTTTTTGTTTTTATTTTTGTTTTCCACCATGGCAGGAGCCAACATAATCCTGAAAATACCAGGATTTTTTCCATGCAAAGATTGATTTTTTTTTCCTTTCGGGAGGCATCTTATTAGGCCAGGTCCCCAATTCCTGAGACTCCCTCTTTCTCCCTTATTTGAGGAGAACCTGGTTCCACAGCTTCATGTTAGCATTCTGCTTATGATAGGGAAGCAGTGGAGAAGCTGCCCTGATGGTTGCTGACTGCAATTTTGTGAGGGCGACATGGGACTAATTTAATGGGTCCATACACCCTCCTGAGGCACCTTTTTGTCCTAAATTTGATTCCAAGCTTTGGTTTGAAGCCCTAAAAAGGAAAACTAGATCTGAGGCACCCAAAGGTAGTTACAGTGGAAGACCAAGGCACAATGCAGGTGAATATGACTATCCCTGCCAATTAGGTCTTCCCACTTCATGGGTGGAGAACTCGCTCACATCCATGGCATAGACAAGGACTAGGGAACCCACAGGTTACCAACAGTGTGAGGATAGGGCAGCATAGGTAAGTGAGAATATCCCTACCCACTAGGCCTCCCTGCTATATGGGTGGAGCCTTTCGTGGATGCCAGGACTTGGGAAGGAAAGGAAAGAAAATAGGGGACCTTTTTTTCTCTTCTCACAAACCCTGGGTTTTCACTGGAAGAGAGAGGAACTAAGGGATGCCTTTTCCCCTCTCTTCCAGTTGGGTTACCAATCATTTTCAGCCTTTACTCCTCCTGAATGCATCCTGAATCACTGGAACTTCTCTGACCCTCAGACTCTGGAGAAAAAGTGCATCATATTCCTTTGCTCAAAGGCATGGCTGGATTATGTTCTGCAGGGAGGAGAAGCTTGGCCTCAGGAAGGAAGCATTAATTTTAATACCATCCTGCAGCTGGACCTTTTCTGTAAACATGAGGGCAAATGGTCCAAGGTTCCATACTTGCTGACTTTCTTTGCCTTGCAGGGTAATCCAGACCTTTGCTGATGTTATTGAATTGATTCAGTCCTAGCAGCCATCCCAGGAGAGGCTGCAAAGAGCAATCCCAAGGGACTAGGGAAGCAAACCCTAGAGGTACCTTCAGTAGGGGAGTCAACCCCTCCAGTCCTGCCCCTTCTGGTCCACCCCATCCTCCATATCCAGATTCTTTCTCAAGCTTGCCCCATCCTAGAAATCTTCATTGTAGGCAGGTCCCAGTCTCACTCCTGCCCCTACAACAGATGCCAGGTGAATCCGGCCCCATTAGGATTCAGGTTCCGTTTTCTCTATAGGACTTAAGGCAAATCAAGGGGAATCTTTTGCAAGTTTGCCGACGACTCTGACAGGTATACAGTGGCTTTCCAGAATTTAACCCAAGTATTTGAACTCTCCTGGAAGGATGTTATGTTACTTTTGAATCAAACCCTGACTACTGCTGAAAAGCAGGCCGCCCTGCAAGTGGTAGAGAATTTTGGGGATAAGCTTTGTATCTTATATAGTGCCAGGGAAGAGGATGAGCCTCATCCAATTGGAAGAATAGAAGTATCACTGGAGGACCCTAAATGAGACCCCAATGATAAAATGAGGGAATGAAAAATGAAGCACTTTCAGGTGTACATATTGGAGGGCTTTTGAAGCACTAGAACTAAGCCTCCCAGTTACTCCAAACTGTCTTTGATAGACCATGGATTAGATTAAAATTCCACTGCCTTCCTGGAAAGGCTAAGAGGAGCATTAGGACAGCAAACCTCTTTATCTCTTGATTCAGTCAAGAGACAACTAATCCTAAAGGATACATTTATTACTCAGGCAGCCCCTGATATCAGTAGGAAGCTGTAGAAACAGGCATGGGGCCAGATAGTACCTTAGAGAACCTGTTCAAAGTGGCCACCTTGGTCTTTTACAATAGGGACTGGGAAGAATCCTGAGAGAGGAGACACCACAAAAAGGCAGAGGGTCTAATGGCCACCTTGCAGGCTCACAAACCCCAGAATCCCTGCGATGCACCTGTTAACTGCTACATATATGGCAAGCCAGGACACATTAGGAAGGACTGCCCAAGCAACATGAGGAAGCCACCTCGACCATGTCCAATTTATGATGTGGACCACTGGAGGGTGGACTCTCCCTGGAGATGCAGATCACTGGGTCCAGAGCCAGTCTTCCAAATGGTCCAGCAGGACTGATGGGTCATGGGGTCCCTCTCAACAGCTCCCATGGTTCAGACTGCCATTACCCTCCAGGAGCCCTGGTGATTCAGGAACTTGAAGGGAGGAAGGTGGACCTCCTCCTGGACACCAGAGAGGGCCTTTCAGTTCTCCGCTGAAATCCATCCCCCCTCTTCTCTTGGCATGACCACGAGGGGTGTCTACAGAAAGTCTTTAAACCGATATTTTTCCAAACCCTTAGTTGTAACTGGGGAGATGTCTTGTTTACTGTCACCTTTTTAATCATGCCTGAAAGCCCAACTCATCAGCCAGACAGGGATATTGTGGCTGGTATGGGAACCACCTTCCTGATGGTTCCAAGACAGACTGTTTGCATCTTTCTAGTGGAGACTGATATTAACCCAGAGGTTTGGGCAACTAAAGGGAAAACTGGCTGAGCCACAACCACCACACTGGTCCAGATCCACCTTAAGTATCCTACCTCCTTCCCTAACCAAGACAATATCCACTACAACCAGAAGTTAGGAAAGGGATAGAAGCCATCATTGATAACTTGAAGATGCAGGGCCTCCTCAAACCCTGCAGCAGCCCTTGTAATACCCCTCTATTGGGGTTACAAAAGCAACAGGGAATGGAGACTGGTCCAGGTCCTCTGCCTCATTAATGAGGCTGTGGTTCCAATTGATCCAGTGGTTCCCAATCCCTATGCCTCAAATATCTGGGGGACTAAATGGTTCACAGTCCTGGACCTAAAGGTTGCCTTTTTGTACATACCATTGCACCCTGACTCCTATTATTTGTTTGCATTTGAAGATCCCTCCAACAAGACCACCCAGCTAACCTGGATAGTGTTACCTCAGACAGCCCCCACCTGTTTGGGCAGGGGTTGTCAAAAGATCTCTCTGAGTTCGTTTATCATCAGGTTAAAGTTTTATAATACGTAGATGACAGTTTCCCTTCTGCCCCAACTGAGGAAATCTCTCAGGAGCACAGTAGGGTCCTTCTTAATTTTCTGGCTAACAGAGAATATAAGGTCTCAAAATTTAAGGCTCAGAATGAGCACATGCTGTTGGAAAAAATGGTGTTGATCGACTTGCTTAATGCAAGGTTGCCACAAACCTCCAATTGGCATTTAAAAAAAAAACATATCTATGATGCACAATAAAGAGAGGCACAATAAAACAAGGTATGTCTGTATCATAGACTTTAACTTTTGTTTTATTTAATTAATATTTTCAAAGAATAAGTTATTTAGACGTTGGTCTTCTCATTTCCTTAAGAGAGGCAATGTCTGGGATTAACCTCCAAGTCATATAAATTCTTATGTAAATGGATTGCTAGAAATTATGAATTTGGGCAGCCATCTGGTTTCAAATATGTATGAGCTTAGAAGGGAGTAGTGTTTTATTTTTCATTGCACATTTTCTCACAAAAGGTGGCCTCTTCTAAATATAACATTAAAAAGCAAAGAAAGAAAGGCTAACCTTTCATTGCAACTTCTCTAGAGTTGAAGTGCTTTCCTCTGATCTATGTAGAAAAGGCAAGACCCTTCAAAGCATCTATACTTGTTAAGGATCAAAGAGAATACTTCTAAATGAAAAGGTGGAGAGATAAAAATGAAAGTTATCAGTGGAACTCTGTCCTAGTCTTTTAGTATCCTAGAATCACTATTCTTTTTATGATAATTTCTAATGCTTGGGGATCTTCAAAAACAAAAGCACCTATCTTTTGAAGTCAGGTCTAGAGATGACAGGCCAAAGTGCTGTATAAGGAACTACTGCTTTGGGGAAATTTGAATCCAACCAACTGGGAATTATAATCTTTAGAACAGAATGTAGAATTGCACTCACACAAAGACCAGAAAAGAGAAAAACTTCAGCCCAAAACAGACAAAGGAAAAAGGCCAAAAAAAAAAAAAAAAAGGCATTCTCACCATAAAGATTAGATGGAAAAAAATTCAACAAAACAGAGTGAAGGGCCATGTGCGGTAGCTCACACCTGTAATCCCAGCACTTTGGGAGGCCGAGGAGGACGGATCACGAGGTCAGGAGTTCAAGACCAGCCTGGCCAATATGGTGAAACCCTGTCTCTACTAAAAATACAAAACAATTAGCTGGGTGTGGTGGCACTTTCCTATAGTCCCAGCTACTCGGAAGGCTGAGGCAGAAGAATCACTTGAACCGGGGGGGCGGAGGTTGCAGTGAGCTGAGATGGTGCCACTGCACTCCAGCCTGGGCGACAGAGCGAGACTCTGTCTCAAAAACAAAAAACATTAAAGTATGGAGAAGTGATTTCTGTAATACAAGGGTTGCCCCCAGAATAATTGTTTCAGGAGATCTTTCCCACCATCCATCTATACTAAATGATTGGCATCATAAAAATTTTGTCCTTCACTAAACCTCAAACATGAATTCCTAAAGAATTGGATTATGTGCCCAGTCACAGTGGTTATCCTGGATACTCAAACAGAAAAGAAGCAGATTAGAGACTTGTCAATTCAATGTTTCAGCAAAGAGTAAAGAAGAAGATGAAGAAAAGAAAATATTAGTTTTTGCAACTACATCCAGGACAAAGCTGTGCTTTCAACTCTGTGCATAGAAAAATTCCATCCTATAGCTTCTCGGCCTTTTGGCTCAGATCAAGTGTAGAAAGACTGCATCCACGAGATATTCAGAGTTGGTACAGGGACTGCCCTAGACAGCGGTGGAGCTAATATCCCCTTATCATAAGCTCCTCATATTCCATACAGCCCCATACTCCAAAGCCACAGATTTTTGTGGGTTGAAAAACCCAAGGCAAGTCTCCTAAAATTAAGATTGCTTGTCCCCAAGAAGGCAAGAAGAATTCTTATTTGCTCTGAGAAAATACACTTTCTAACACCACTACAAGCAATATAAACAGACAGCTGAGAGTCAACAGATGTTGTGTTAAATTCAGACCTCAAAATGGAGGCAACAAAATTAACAAAACTAAATCATGAGAAAACAGAGTTAATTAGGGATAAATGAATTTAATATAATAATTACAGTTGTAAAGATAAGAAAGGATAATATATTTTGAAAAATATACAAGTTTAAAACCTCAATATTCTTAAGATATGTTAAAACATATATTATTATGTGTATGTACCTTTGTGGAAAACAGAATAGACACAACTGAAGATAGTAAGCTAGAATACTGAGAAAGAAAAATTTCCCAGAAATCACAGAAATAAATGAATAAAAGTGTATGTAGGATTATGTGTGTGTGCATGTGCCTGTGTATATATATTTATATATAGATATATAATATGTATAAATTATATGCTATATGTATATATATAAAATATATATAAATATATACTATATATTTTATTTAATATTTAATTTAAATATCTATATACACACACATGCACATACGCATGCATACTCTCTCTATATATATAACAACATATATATACGCATACACAGCCTGGAACCCCTGCAAGATGGCTGCTATTATTCTAGATGTTATTTTTCTTTCTCAGTCTTCTAGCTTACTACATTCAGCTGTGTCTACTCTGTTTTCAACATAGGTACACATACATAATATATGTTTTCACATATATTAAGACTATTGAGTGTGTTTTTTAACGTGAATATGTTCCAAAATATATTATTCTTTCTTATCTTTATAACTATAATAATCCAGAATAATAATAGCCTTCTTGCAGGCATTACAGGCTCCAACCAAAAGAACAGGGACAAGTAAGTGGAATCAAACAATCAAATAAATGAGTCTAAAGTTTGAAATGAACAGCTGAGAACCGAACAAAGTGAATAAAAACAGATTCAAACTCAGATATATGTTAGTGACATTTAAGAACTGCATAGATAAGATAGATAAGATAGAATTGTTAATATTTTCAAAGAACAAAGTATGTCACATGCCAAAAAAAAAAAAAGAGACATCAAACTTCAGCTTGAGCAGAAAAATATTTAAAGGCAATCAAGCAAAGCCTCCAAAGTGCTGAGGGAAAAATGATGTTAAATTGAGAACTTTGTAGCTAATCAAATGAGCATTCAGTTATGAGGGCAAAATAAAATTTATTTTGGATATGCAAGAGCTCAAAGTCTATTAGGGATAAAGTCTTTCTGAAAAAAATGTAGCTTACTATACCAAAGCTAATATAATATAAACCAAAATATAAGAAAACAAGCTGAGGCCGGACGTGGTGGCTCATGCCTGTAATCCCAGTACTTTGGGAGGCCAAGGAGGGCAGATCACCTGAGCTCAGGAATTTGAGAGCAGCCTGGCTAAAGTGGTGAAACCCCATCTCTACTAAAAATACAAAAATTAGCGGGGCGTGGTGGTGGGCACCTGTAATCCCAGCTACTTTGGAGGCTGAAGCAGAGAATCACTTGAACCCAGGAGGCAGAGGTTGTAGTGAGCCAAGATTGCACCACTGCACTCCAGCCTGGGCAACAAGAGTGAAACTCTGTCTCAAAAAAAAAAAAAAAAAAAAGAGAGAGAAAGAAAAAAAACAAGTTGAGATACAGTCTATGATAATATCAATTAAAATTATGCATAATTTCTAAATAAATTTTATACATAAGGTAATAGCAGCTAGAATATTTTATTTCAGAAAGAGGATAGGGAAAGGGAAATAATGCTAATTTAAAGCTGGATCAATTCAACAAAGCTTATGAAAATAAAACCAAATCAAGAATGCAATAAAGGAAGTCAATATGGTAGAATTCAGTAATCATAAGGACTGTGGGTTAATACCTATTGAAATACAGAGACTTTAGGGCTATTTTACAATCTGAACATACATGAAATGATTGCAAAAAATACAAATAATATAGAAAAGTCTGCAAATAAAGGGAGAGAGACAGATATACTTGACCGAGGATATTTTGAAAAAACCAAATGCGATATCACTACCAACAAATGCAGAAATTCGAAATTAATATGTTTAGTGGACAGAGTATTATTAAAAATTAATCAAAATGAATAATTTAAGAAGATATGATGAACAGGATTATAAGGTATGAAACAGCATCATTCTGAAGCAAATAGAGAAGGAATTCTGCAAGTTATTCAAAGAGAAGCTGGCAAATACGCCAACTATTTGTGGAAATTTCAACATCCTTTTGTTAAGAATAAGCAGATCAAATTTTTGGAAAAAATTTGGGGAACATGAATAATTATCTGTCTAAACATTGTGTGTATATATTTTGTATGTGTGTGAATATGTGTGCATACATATATACATATTCATGTATATATAATAATGTAAATATGCAAAAGCAAAAAGTCTAAATTGTTGTTTAAATAGCCATCAGTGTTGTAAATATGAATTCCATTTAAGGAGCTAAAGAACAATCTCAAATTTTCCAAAGTAAGAATCTTTTAAAAACTATTTGTCCCCCAGGCAAAAATGAATTTGATAATTAACAAGAAAATTGCCAAAACTAAGTATTACTTCACATCCTGCTATACAGTAGAAAGTTCTAATAATTAGTAGATTAGTAGTTCTTAGTTGCAGCCACCCTTCATACACCTGTTCTTAGACTAATTGGGAACCAGACCACATGACCTCTAAGTGCCTTTAACCTTAAATTAATTTAAGTCTCTAATAATCTTGGGTTAAAGTTTCAGTATATTAGGAAACATTCTTTTTTGTTTCTTTCTCTTCACCACAAAGGCTTTGGTAAAAACAAGTGGGAAATAATTTATTTTTCTAGGCTAAACTTTAATTTGATTATTTTAATACCAATGACACTAAATTTCACAAGATTAATAAAACACATTTGAGGCTGATTAAATAGTCACTTCTAATCATAATCACTCCTTAACTTGCTTAAAAATTATTATCTTAGAGGTACATTTCTATCTCTAATAGAAATATTAAACTACAAGCAAGAATAATTTCTGAGCCATGGGATTCTTCTCTGAAGGCTTCTGCACATGTTATTATTCTCTTTTCTTGTTCAATTAACACACACACACACACACACACACACATTCCTAGCAAAATATTTTGGTTAAAAGCCATGTTTCTTACCCAAAAGGATATAAAAATTTCAAATACTAATTGAAAAATAAAGTGGCTTAAATGAGATATGCAGACTGCCAATTTATGTTTTCTTTAGAAATCTATAAAAGAAAGGAAAGAAAAAAGCAGCAGAATTTTAAAAAGGAAAGACAAAACAAAAAGACAATCCTAACAAAGAAAAACAAACAAAAGAAATATTTATATAAACTGAAAAAAGCATTAAAATATCAGACATCTTGATTTCTGGCTCTTTGGGGATCCAGTTAATAAACAAAAGCATCAGTTGGGCCCCGACCAAATTCAAGACAGTATACCTGATAACAGAAAGTATCTGAAGGAAAATAAGACATCTAACAAAGCAGGGAAAATTTTATGCAGGCAGAATGATATGACAAATTGAAAATAAATATAAAATCAAAACATGTGGCTAGGCGCGGTGGCTCACGCCCGTAATCTCAGCACTTTGGGAGGCCAAGGTGGGCGGATCACTTGAGGTCAGGAGTTCGAGACCAGCCTGGCCAATATGGTGAGATCCTGTCTGTACTGAAAATACAAAAAATTAGCCAGGCGTGGTGGCGTGCGTCTGTAATTCCAGTTATTTGGGAGGCTGAGGTGGGGGAATTGCTTGAACCTGGAGGCGAAGGTTGCAGTGAGCCGAAATAGCGCCACTGCACTCCAGCCTGGGTGACAGAGTAAGACTCTGTCTGAAAAAAAAAAAAAAAAAAAAAAAATCAAAACCTGAAACTTAATTCAAGTATTAGGAAGCAATCTATTTAATCATTTTATTTTTCACATAAGTGCCATGGAGTAAACTGTCGCTGATTTAGGATGTTTACAATAGCCCATGGTTTATGATGCTTGTCTACGGAAATACTTAGATGAAGACCAAAGTACAAATTTCCGCTGCCTTTTGCTATGCATTTGCACTTCATGGTTTTGCACACTTTCTAAGTCTCCTAAAAATCCATGGTCCAAAAGAAATAAGGGCCTTCTCACATCTGACTAAACCTTGTCTATATCACTTTTAAGAATACAAATTTCAGGAAATAATGTGAAGTGGTGTCAGCAGGATGGAGGAATAGGAGGTCGTAGACTGCACTACTATAACCAAACTCGGGTTCAGCTGCTCTTCACTCAGAAGCCAAAACTCCAGAAACAAGGGATGGTGTGAGGAAAAGCAGGTTTATTCTGGAGCTAACAACTTAAGGAGATGTTGAACTTGCATTGTAAAGACCATCTCCCCTTTTTCTGGCTGGCCAAAGGAGTTTTAAAAGGAAGGGGCTTGGGAAACTGTGCAGAAGTTAGCTAAGTGCAGATGAGCATGTCCTGTTCCAATGATTATCTTGAGTAACAGGCCATTTGGTAGTCTGGCTGGCATCAGCTAGATTGCAGCAGGATTGAACATTGAATGCTCAGCTTTTTTCCAGGGGTGGGTATTTCACAGCCTTGATTTTATCTCAAGGTTAGTTCTTGGAGTTCTTAAGCAAGTACACAGTAAAGCATTGTGAAAGAATGACTATTTACTTTTAAGAAGGGAGTGACTGCCTCAGTTACAAATTCTCCACTGTCAATTTTTTATTCCATTTCTATGGAAAAGGGGCATCTACTCTAGTCTAGTTACTTCCTGCTGAATGAGGGTGTTGATTGGGGACTTTGGATTGAAACTGTTTGACCTGGCAGCATGCTATGTTCAGGTCTTTGTTTTGTTTGTTTGTTTGTTGTTTTATTTTTGGGTCCTTAGGAGGACCCAGTCCAAAGTTGGAAAGTATATAGGGCCATTTCTGTGGTGAGTGTTCCCATTAGAAGTAAATTTATAAACAGGAGTTAGTATTGTGCCTGGAGTCTTAACAAATTTGGCTTTTTTTTTTTTTTTGTATCAGTTGGATTTCCCACCATGGCAGAAACTTGAAATGGCCTACTATAAAATATGTTAAAAGGACTCAATTTGTGCCTGTTTCAGGAAGCCATTTACATTTATAACAGGGCAACTGACAACACCTTCTCTCAAGTCAAATGGGGTTTTGGACATATTTTGACAATGTATTTTTTTTGTAGCATATGTTTAATCTTTTACTTTTTCCCTTATATTGTGGTCTCCAAGATGACAATCAAAACGTTGTAGGAAGGGGAAAGTCACAATTTCTCCTGACATTTCTGTAATCAAATGGTGACATTTCTGTAACCATTTGATAGAAAATACCAAAATACTAGCAGTGGTCTAGTATTTTGGAATACTAGCAGTGGTCTAGTAATTTGAAATACTAGCAGTGGTCTAGTATTTTGAAATATTAGTCTTTGAAACAGAGGATAGACAGGAGTTAACTAGAGAATATATGGTCCCCATATCAATATGAAAGTCAGTAAATTTGCTTCCCACTGTTAATTGTACCTGGGCTCCTGTATGGATATAATGACAGGTTGGTTAAACATACATATTCAACAGGTTATAGAAGTTATGAATATTTATAAAGGTGATTCTGACACATGCATATTGAACAAACATATATAACATATGAATTATGTTCATCTTGGAGTGGAGACCTAAAATTTAAAGTATTACAACTAGGTCCTATACATCAAAAGGTTTTTTCAGGACACAAAGGCACACAAATACACAATCTCTGTAAACTAGTCAGAACCAGTCCATGGTCAGTGGTATTCTTATCTTGGGAAAGTTACTGAAATCAGCCTCTTGTCCATTCAAAGTTATAGTTATGGTTAGTGGAACATGGGCAGGGAGCATGGGAGATCTGTTAGCATCTGGTGGAACCGTAAATCATTTTAATATTGTTTATCTCAAGGTCAGTGCTTGTTTAGCTGCTGGAGAAAAACAAAAACCATGTGGCAGTTAGAACGTAGTTTATTCTTTAAGTGTAGAGGTGCATGACTTGGCCCTTGCCTGACATGGACTTAGGTTCTATTTATAATTTGGTATCTTATTGCCACAAAGAATGTTTTGTCAGTCTTATGATCTGTATTTTAACATTAATGCTGCTCAGCTGTTGTGTCTAAACCATAAAAGGGAGGAAGTATAATGAGACATGACTGACCTTTTATACCATCATGGCTGGGAACTGGGTTTTTAATTTTTTTTTTGGAGCCAGGGGTGGAGGGTGTCCTCTTGGCTCCTTGGTCTGTTCAGTCAGTGGAGGACTTAGGATTTTTGTTGTTGTTGTTGTTGTTGTTTATATTCCTCCTTCTTTGGGCAAGATATGCCAGAGACAACATCAATGGCCAAGGTTTTATTTTGTCCCATATCATTGCCAGAGTGGTGCGGCTACCTGTCCTGGTCCATCATGTCCCTCAGTGGGACTCCTATGGCCAAAGGACTTAGAACCAGAAGACTTATAGCCAATTAATCATTCCAGACCAGGCAGGAATGGAGGTGGGAAGGCACTCATTAACTCTTAAAACCTTTTAGGCAACATAAGAGTTAAAAACTAAAAGCAAAAATGCAAGTTTACAAAATTGAATAATTTATAAGTTCTACATATTGAGCTGCTGTTTAAGCATCTGTATACCCATCTTTGATTTGGAAGGTCTGAACAAATTTTATCCCACAAAATTCACTTTTATAATCTCATGCATCCACCTCTTCTACAATAGTCCTTGGGCTTAGAGGGAAGGTACTTGACATTATATAGCTTTAGTAGCAGTGCATAGGCAAGCCAAAACATATTGACTCAGTAGGATTGCACAATTTTCAAATTTTGGAGATATTAGGCAGAGAGATATTTTTTGTTGTTGTAGTACCCAATTTCTGTATAGCTGTAAATAGCTCAAGAGGAAAAAAAAAGTTTTCTTGACTTTGGAAAACAAAATATTAAGGATTAGCAATGTTTTAAACAAAAAGGTCATAAGCCTTTTTCAAGTCTTGATAATGACAGAAAAGGAAGCTCACACATAGTTAAACCTTCAAATTATTTAGTGATATAGATTGGGTGTGTCCCCACCCAAATCTCATCTTAAATTGTAGTTCCCATAATCCCCATGTGTCATGGGAGGGACGTGGTGGGAGGTAATTTAATCATGGGGGTTTTTACCCTCATGCTGTTCTCATAATAGTGAGTTCTCACATGATCTGATAGTTTTATGAGGGGCTTTTCCCCCTTTGCATTGCACTTCTCCTTCCTTCCACCATGTGAAGAAGAACGTCTTTGCTCCCCCTTCTGCCATGATTGTGTTTCCTGAGGACTCTCCAGCCATGCTGAACTGTGAGTCAATTAAACCTCTTTCCTTTACAAATTACCTAGTTTCAAGTATGTCTTTAGTAGCAGCATGCGAACGGACTAATACATTTAGCATCAAGGATCTAGAAGCAAAATTATTAAAGGAGTCTTAGTGTCTTTGTATTAGGGCCTGTCCACATGTTTCATGAAAGCAGTTAAATATTTTGATTGTCACCTTCTCCAGGTCTAAAGTCCAGCCTTTGGTTAACTTAAGTTTGGTGTCAGATACTGGCATCAACGTTTAAGATTTAGCAGCAGTTCATGGATATGTATATCCAGGAGTCAAAACCCTGTAACTTAACGGCACAAGTATTAGTTAATAGCACTTAGGACCTTTTCAAGGAGCTTGAGGTGGTGATATTGGAGTTTATGACCTGATTTAAGAGTTACAAAAAGATTCTACAACCTTGTAGTCATTCATTTTTATAGCTTTGTTAAGTCCCCAGCAATAAGTCAGAGACTTAGGATTTTGATTTCAAGAATATTTATTAAAGATGTTAAAGCCTCAAAACATTTCACCAAAACAAAAACTATTTGTTCATTTAACCAAGATTGATAATTAAAAGACTTTAAAAGCAATATGCAAAGTTATATGAATATAAATACCTTAACCCTTTTAAATTTTAGTTTTCCTAAAGAATCAAAAACCTACGAATATAATATAGAAATTATTTTGCTATTAATAAAATGTAAAATCTTCGTTTTTTAAGCCAAGTACCAAAAAGGCAAAGAAAACTTTCTGCAGTGTAATTGCTTCTCCTTATGGGAAGCCCATTTAGATAACCCAAAAGTCAAAGCTGTTGAAAAGAGTACATGAATTTAATCAGACACAGGAAGAGTCTTTTCAAGGTTATGAGTATAGCAGGCGAATACATGACTCTTAGTAATAGCATGAGAACTTCCTGATTACATTGAAAAATTTAGACTTATCAAGAAAAATCAAGAGTGCAGATAAACTTATACTGGAGGTAAACATTGCTTTTTTAGATCTTTAAGATAAAACATTTTAGTGGTAGGCCACAACAACAGTTGGAACTAGAGGGAAAAAATTTCAGGAGTGATGAAAAAACTGAAGGAGAGAGTTGTCATCTCAAGCCTTCTCAAGGGGAGGAAAAGCTGAAAGCAACAAGACACAACCAATGTTGAACCTCTGAGATATGAATCTAAGAATTTTTAAAAGAAATTGGTTATATAATTAAAAATCAAAACCTCTTGTAATTTCCCTAAAAGCCAAGTAATACCTTAAGTAACCCTTGTTTTAATGCAAGGGGCTAACTTTTAGAAAGAGTATTATAGTGGTTTCCTTTTTAATTATAAACAATTAATTACTTACAACATTCCTCTTATAAATTCTGTTTCTTGTACCTTATAACCACTTACACAGCCCATTTATAACATTTTTTACTTTCTTACTTGTCTTATATTACACTTCTTTTTAACAATAACCGGTTATTTTACTTTAAGACAAAAATTTACCACACAAGATCTTTTTTAGATAAAATTATTATTTTTAAACAATCTTACTTACCAAAAATATTTTTATATTCATAACTTTTCTCACATCTCTTTTAATTCCTATTTTCTTTTTACCTTTTTTTAACTTTTGAATAACTTCTAAATTATATAAAATTATTCTTTCTCAAGAACACAACTTACAGAATTATATAAGAATTATATATTAACTAGGATTCTTATTCTTAGTAACCTTAAATTTTAGTGAAAACCTAGGAAGCAAGAAATCCTGAACTGTCTATCAGATGGAACATTTTATAGATGAAACCACTCCACAGTTTTAGAAATATATTTCCCATATTGTAACCCTTTCTTAGTTAGAAATGACCCAAATATTCAATAAGCATCCAAAATAATTTTAAGATTTTAAAATTACATAAAAAGTTTACCTGGAAGCATTTATCCTATGTTTATGCACTTAATTTTTTAATTTTTAATAGTTTATCTAGATTACTTCTGCAAAATGAAGATACTAGACAAAACTAGTTGTCATTTAAAGTTATTTCTCTGTTAATCATTTATAAAGCCTGTGAACATCAGGTGTTCACCTAAGAACCTTAAACACAAGGGCATTTTGCCAATAATTCAGAAGCCTGAGCTGTTTTTATTGAACCTGAAATATTTAGCAAAGGTAGATATAAAATAGTTGGTGTGAGAAAACACTTTAAACAGTCTATTTTTAAGGTGTGATAAATCTAAGTACGTTCAGCCAGCCTGTGGATGTAACAAACCACACAGCTCACGCACCTAGAAGGTCAGTAAGCAAACAGAATGTAGAGGAGAGGTCAGCCCATAAAAGGGAAGAAAGTTTTGTTACTGGGAAATCAAAACTTAAGTGGAGAAGGGGACTGGGGTAAAACCTTATAAGAGGGATAATGAAACTTAGGCAACATCCAGGAAGATTGTAACCCCATAGTACTTGACTAGTGAGGAACTGGGGGAGGGACTTATTACATGCTAGGGGATAAATTACCTGCTGTAACTGCCCCAGGTGTGCCTGCCTACCAGACGGCCAGTCTTGCAAGACTGCCATTAAAAGTCTCGCTTCTGCTGTTCTTCATGTCTCCAAGGGTTTGGCCAGGTGAATATGTGTTTCTCACAATTGGTATATCTAGACAAAAATGAATGCCAACAATTTGGAAGATATATCTATTTTTATTTCATTAATGATTTCAAAACCATTTTTTATTTACCAAAAATTACTAAATGTACCTGAACTTGAAAAGCATTTCGACTGACTTAATTTATGAATACTCATTTATTTATAATCCAGTTTGGTACATGTTAGACACAACACATATATATACATACATAAGCACATATAAATATGTATACACACATACAAACCAAGATCCAACAGCTTTTACCTCAGAGCTCTAGCCATCAGAGTATATCACAAACTCACTGGCCTA
This sequence comes from Homo sapiens, assembly GCF_000001405.40. Taxonomy (NCBI): domain Eukaryota; kingdom Metazoa; phylum Chordata; class Mammalia; order Primates; family Hominidae; genus Homo; species Homo sapiens. The sequence goes on along the minus strand of NC_000002.12, from coordinate 187,918,754 downwards.
TAAAAGATAGCTGTATCCAAAATTTTTTCATTAACAAAACTGGGGCCGGGCACGGTGGCTCATGCCTGTAATCCCAGCACTTTGGGAGGCCAAGGCAGGTAGATCACAAGGTCCGGAGACTGAGACCATCCTGGCTAGCATGGTGAAACCCTGTCTCTACTAAAAATACAAAAAAAATTAGCCGGGAGTGGTGGCGGGTGCCTGTAAGTCCCAGCTACTCGGGAGGCTAAGGCAGGAGAATGGCGTGAACTCCGGAGGCGGAGCTGGCAGTGAGCTGAGATCGCTCCACTGTACTCCAGCCTGGGCAACAGAATGAGACTCCATCTCAAAAAAAAAAAAAAAAAAAATTGGAACCTGTCTACATGGCTAAACTTTGTCTCAATAGGTAATTGCATGAAAGCTGTTGACCAAAATTTTTGGTAAAGCACTTTAGATACCAGTTTAATTTTTGAAATCTCTTTTACCCTTTTTTTTAAGTTTCAAGAGTTTTCAATGTTTACATTTTAACTAGAACTGGCTGAACTGTATAAGAAAAACAAAATATCCCAAGTAACTTTGAATTAAGTGAGTTTTATCTCAATATTAGTAGCTCAATAGCAGCAGATTCAAAGTAGACAGAAAAGAGAGAATTAGGGAGCTTTAGAAGCCTCTACTTAACTCTATAGTTGCTGGTTAACCATTTGAGCCCTGAATTTTTCTTGCTGTAATTTGCCCATCAGTTTAAAATGTGCACAAAAATGGGGATAATATGTGACCAGCTGGAGTCCCAGAAAATCTGGCATGTCTTTGAACTTTCATGTTTCACCTTTTAAACAACCTTTTAAACAATTAAAAACCAAAAAACATACAAAACCTAAAACAGAGCATTCCCAAGCTAATTCCCAAAAAAAGGGAGACTGAAGAGATGTCTTCAAAAATCTTATCTGACACCAAACAGTACCACAAATGACTCATGCTAGGTCCAAATGGCACAAGCCCAAAAGGCAGAGGCTGAAGATTCCTGGTGTGCACATCAGTTTCACTTACTCAATCTTGGATCCATCAACTCCCAGATACTGCTTTACCTTGCACTGACTAAGCATTGCAATCAGCTGATGCCATGAAGGGGAAAGAAGAGAGATTCCCTGAGACAAAAGCATTCTCAGCAGCTGCTGAGTTCCCAGAAATCCCAGCTAGGATCCTAAAATCCCAGCTGCAAGGATGGTCTTGTTACCAAAACACCAGGGGTTCGTCTAGGTCCTGGGGTTCATCTAGGTTCTGCTGCTCACTGTATAGAAAGCTAATGACTGGCACAATGAGTATTGCCAAGTGCCAAGGAAGAAGGCTTTAAGCGGGTGTTCCGGTAGAGAAGATGAGAGCTCAGTCTCAAATCCATCTCCCTGATTGACTGAAATTAGGGGTTTATATAGCAAGGAAGAAATGTAACTATATATAAAACAGGATCTCAGGAGTAAGAAGGCAATCATGATGAATGAGGGGCCTGGCATTTCATTATTTGCATGCCTTGATTGGGTGAGTTTCAGTTCGCTGATACTTTTTGAAAGGCCTGGGAATCTTTTCCTGAGGAAGGAACTCAGATAAAACAAATGTGAAGTTTCAAGCCTTAAGTTTGCCTGGAGAATACTGCACTGACAGTGAGCTGCACTCTTTTTTTTTTCTAATGGGGAAATGGATTAAAACCAGAGGATCAATTTCTATGTTTATCCAAAGACAGCTGTCTATGGGACTATTGGGTTAGTTTCAGGTTTTATAACCTGATGTGATTTGGCTTTGTGTCCTCACCCAAATAAGTTTTGGCTTTTGAGCAGTGAGCAGCTAAACCTGAGTTCAGTTGCACTACCTGCCACAAAACGTTTAACTAGCAACTATCCACAGACAAAAATGCCTTGGTGAAAGCCTCCCAAACTGGAAATAAGCCTGAGTCACCTAGGTGGCTCATAAAATGTAATAAAACCCACATGGGAATGGTAAGAGAAATGGTCTTTGACTGTGCTGCCCCTCCCCAACCCCAAGTCAGCATAGTACTACATAGAAAGGATCCCCCAGGGATCATGCTTTCTACAGAGAAAAAATGGAAGCAGAGATTGACATTTAGATTCCCTAGCATTTTAAAACACTTTCCAGGGTGGCTAGACTACCCAGGTTCAGGTAGAAACAAAGAAAGTGGAGCCCACAGCACCCAGCACACATCTTGGTGGTAGCTCTGCATACCTGCCAATGGTATCAGAGCTCATGAAACTCAGCTGGTCACTCGCAAAACTGATAAAAAGTTTTACCTGCCTGGAATCCTTAGATGGCCAACCTGTAGGACCAGCCTTGGATTGTACCTTGGGATCCCACCCAGGAATGGAGACAACTACTACAGCGAATTTCAGCAAAGAGCAGGGGCTAGTTCCACAACTCCTGGGAGGTTAACAGCACTTGGCGAAAATCAGGGGTTAGATTTGTACCCCTCCCCGAGAATTTAAATAGCACTCAATTCAGCCTCAAAGCTCACCTCAAAACCCTGTGAAGGCAGAGAGGTAAACCTCCATTGTACATTTCTGCTTTGCATAGCAACTGGTCCTGTCCATTCCAATCAGCAACTGCACCTAACCTCCGGGCCCCTCCTGCAACCCTGTCCAACTGATGAACTCAAATAGCAGTACCATATGGCCATGGAATATACCGTGTGGGCTGGCCAAATTAGAGGTGATTGCAGTACTCATCCAGCAGCTCAGCATAATCGCGGAGCCCAGCCAGCTGCCCCACCTCCACTCAGACTAAAAGCAACAGCTCAGCCATTTAGAGAATCCAAACAAGTTCTGTTCCCCAGTGTTGTTATCCTTGACCCATCCATAATCACTAGCTAAACAGTGAAGGTTTATCCCTGCCAAACACACCAGAAACCCAGAAAAGGTAGCTGTCTCTTCAAATGCAAAGACAGCAGCACCAGAAGACAAGGATTGCAAACAACTAGGAAATTATGACACTTCCAAAAAACAAAAACAAAACAAAAAAAAAACAGCACCAGCAAAGCCTCAACAATGGTCTCCAAAAAAAGAGATCTATTAAATGATATTAAATGACAGACAAAGAATTCACAATAATCTTCTTTGTTTTGGAGACGGAGTCTTGCTCTTGTCGCCCAGGCTGGAGTGCAGTGGAATGATCATCTCAGCTCACTGCAACCTCCACCTCCCGGGTTCAAGCGATTCTCCTGCCTCAGCCTCCCGAGTAGCTGGGATTATAGGTGCCCACCACCACACCTGGCTAATTTTTGTATTTTTAGTAGAGACGGGGTTTCACCATGTTAGTCAGGCTGGTCTCAAACTCCTGACCTCGTGATCCACCCGCCTCGGCCTCCCAAAGTGCTGGGATTACAGGCGTGAGCCACCGCACCTGGCCAGAATAATCTTCTTAAAGAAATTCAATGAACTACAATTTACCCTTGAACCATGAGTTTGAACTGTGGCAATCCACTTATATGTGGATGTTCTTCCACCTCTGCCACCCCTGAGACAGCAAGACCAATCAATCCCTCCTCTTCCTCCTCCTCTGCCTAAACATGAAGATGATGAGGAAGAAGATATTTATGATGATTTACTTCCACTTAGTGGATACTCATATATTTTCTCTTCCTTATGATTCTCTTAATAACATTTTTGTTTTTCTAGCTTACTTTATTGTAAGAATACAGTATGTAATACATTTAACATATAAAATATGTGTTAATTCTTTATATTATTGGCAAAGAATGTCAATAGTAGGCTATTAGTAGTTAAGTTTTTGGGGAGTCAAAAGTTATATGCAGATTTTCGACTGCATGAGGAGTCGGCGCTCCTAACCCCTAAGCCCTGTGTTGTTCAAGGGTCAAATATACAACTATAATTTGTCAATTTCCAACTTAAGAAACAAAAAAATTAAAAAACCCAATAAAAAGCGATAAATTATAGACATTATATTTGTGTGAACTTTCAGTTTTTGAAACATTTTTAATATTTACATGAAGTCAAAGCAAATACCCAGTGTAGGAGAAAGTAATCATAAATTTTACCTGCTGTTAATCATTTAGGAGGTAAATAAACTCTGAGTGAACACATTAGTTTATTGTTTTCTTTTCTTTTTTTCTGTATCAAACCAGATTTTTAATTCAACAATGAAGTTTCAATGCAGTGTATTATTTATTTCACATTTTAAAACTTTAAAAATTTACATATGTGTATAGTAAAAGCAGACAAGTATATATAAGAAATACAAATGATTAATTCAGAAGAGTTAACTCTGATAAGAGAAGGAAAAATGATGAGAGGGATTGGAGAGAAGCTCAAGAAGTACTCCAACTAATATTTCATTGCTTAAAATAATAAGTTAGGTAAATATGGTAAAATATTTAATTAGCAAAGTTAAATTGTGGGTAGCTGAGTCTTAATTCTATTATTCTGTATGTTTCAAATAATTCATTAAAATAAAGAAAAGAAGATATGCCTTCACTAATAACAAAATCCATACAGAATCTTGGTTATACTTAGCAAGTAGTATGAAAGATATTTTTAGACATTTGCTAGATATTAGATGATATTATAAAAGTCTGAATAAATACAAGAGACAAGTTTCTGGATAACTTAACCCTTTAACCCTCAATTCTCCCAATATATCTGTAAAATCAATATATTTCCCAAACAAAATCTAATCATGATACTTGTATATTTATTCCAAAATGTACCTAGAAAATAAAAGTCATATATATATGTGTGTATATATATATGTGTGTATATAAATATATATGTGTGTATATATATATATGTGTGTGTGTATATATACATATATATACATATAAAATGAAAAGGCACAGGTACAGGAATAAAAACAATGAGCTATTCACCCATGAATAAGACACAGGAACAAAGAGACTGGAAGGCAATTCCCATATAAAGATATGTCTATGAGAATTTCATGCATAATAAAGCTGTTGCGACAAATCATTGGGTAATCTAATTTGGGTAAAGGGCTTATCAAATAGAAAAAACTAAACTTGGATTCTTTTATAAAATTATGTATAGGTATACAAATACATTCTAAATTGCCTACCTCCGAATGGTAAAACACCCATTAATGCAAAGATTTGGCAAAGCTCTGGGAAAACACCCTCTTTCTTTCCTTAGAGGAGATTAATTGCTACAGACATTCCAAAATCTAATCCAATAGAACTATTGAAAGGAAATATTTATGTGCTTTGTTACTCAGTAGAAACACTCTCAGGTATATTGCCTGCTTTCATGCAGATCAATATGGAAAAATGAATGAATAAATGCTTAAAGTAGCTTTTTCTGTTTATTTCTCTGGGAATGAAAATGTAACATATGGGATCCACATAATGGAATTACTATTCAAAACTCAGAAGCAATTAACTACTTTTATATAAAGCAACACTGATGGATCTTAAAAAATACACTTTTGAGGAAAAATGTAAGAAACTGCATAAGATTATTTTATAGAAATATTTTTTAAGGAAATAAATACATGTATAAGAACATACAGTTGTAGCTAAATATTTGTCACATGTAGAGTGTAGAATAATAGACACTGGAGACTTGAAAGGGTGGGAGGAGGGTGAGGGATGACTCAGAAATTACTCAATGGGTACAATGTGCATTATTCAGATGATGGTTATATTAAAAGCCCAGACTTCACCACTACTCAATATATCATGTATCTAAACTTCACTTGCACCTCTTAAATTTATACAAATAAAAAAGTATATCTGTTATATACATATACATATATTTATGTTTGTTTATTTATACAAATGTAAATAACAAATCCTAGAACAACTTAAGATACAGATATTGTTAAGTTTGTGTTGCAGAAGAACTAGTGTAGACTATAAGTAACATGAATAGTCACAAACACAGCTAGGATATAATTGAAGCCAGTATTCTAACCTTGTCTGTCTGGCCCCAGAATTCACAAGCTTAACCAACTGTGTGTGCTTCTTTGCATATATCAACTATTTTAGTGCTTACCTCAGAGAGAAATGAAGCAGTCATGGGGATGGATAATAATATGAAACCAGTTAGCATCTTGGATGTACTGCTGAGAATGCTGTGATGCAATTAACTTGACTCTGTGAACCTGAAGAGAAAAATAAAAGAGGACCAGAAAAAAGAGAAGGCCAGGCATGGTGGCCTACACCTGTATTCCAAGCACTTAGGGAGCCTGAGAAAGGTGTATCACTTGAGCCCAGGAGTTTAAGACCAGCTTGGGTCTCTTTAAAAAAAAAAAAAAAGGGTAAATAAACTTCTGAGAAACTAAAGAGACTAAGTGATCAGCATAAATACTGTCAGGGAAAAGACCAGAATACAAAAAAAATTCAAATTTTAGGGATGAATATGTTTACACCTCAGTGACCATCTGTGTTTTACTATGCAGTATATCTGAGATATTAAGCAATATCAGATATACTGAGATGTTTTTACTTTTAATAAAAACCAGTATATCTTAGCTATTGCTTAATAGCTAAGATACTTTTATTAACAAAAATATAATTATTAATGCTCATTAGTACATTTCTATGTGATTTTGGATAACATTTAACATATTTTTGTCTAAGTGTTTTATTACTAAAATGTACTGTTCCTTAAGAGTTTTTATTGTAATATAAACCACAATGGAATATTTGAAATTCTAAAATAGATTTAGTAAAGAGATTTTTCATCAATCATTTGGTGATATGGAATGCTTAATTTAATGGTTTTTTTTTTTTTTTTGGTTACTCTTTTCTCTTTTTTTTTTTCGCACAAATGTGCTAAGGTTTAGGAGTGAAGTGTCCAGAGTTGTAAAGGAGAGATGAAGGAGAACTATACAGACAGATAAATAAGCTAATGAAAACTGGCTACAGATCAATGGGAGGACAAATTTCCGCATTATATCTAATTCATGTTGTTTAAAGAAATATTGAGCCAGGCACAGTGTTGCACACCTGTAATCTCATCTACTGGGGAAGCTGAGGCAGAATTTCAAGGCTTTAGTGAACTATGATTGCATGAATAGCAATTTCATCCCAGCCTGGGAAGCACTGGGAGACTCTGTATCTCAAAAAAAAAAAAAAAAAAAAAACAAAACAAAACCGAAAACCAAAGAATTATTATTTTGCTCTTTTATAACATGCATTCATATCATTAACTCTAAATAATTCTGATGCACTAATATCTGCTTAAAGTCATCAAATCATGGAATTTGTAGCCATGAATTTTGTCACATGAATAGAGAACAGAGGTAACGAATGACAGTAAATTAAAAGCTACTCCTTCTGAGAAAAGAGTTTTACTGTGCAGAAGCTCTTTAGTTTAATTAGATCCCATTTGTCAATTTTGTCTTTTGTTGCCATTGCTTTTGGTGTTTTAGACATGAAGTCCTTGCCCATGCCTATGTCCTGAATGGTAATGCCTAGGTTTTCTTCTAGGGTTTTTATGGTTTTAGATCTAACGTTTAAGTCTTTAATCCATCTTGAATTGATTTTTGTATAAGGTGTAAGGAAGGGATCCAGTTTCAGCTTTCTACATATGGCTAGCCAGTTTTATTTTATAATTTTAATAAATTTATATTAAAATTTATTAAATTTATTAAAATTTTATAATTTTAATAAATTTATATTAAATTTTATAATTTATAAAATTAATTTATTTTATAATTTAATTTATAAAAATTTATAAAAATTTTATAATTTAATTTATAAAAATTAAATTTTATAATTTTAATAAATTTATATTAAAATTATAAAATTTATTAAAATTTTATAATTTTAATAAATTTCCAGCACCATTTATTAAATAGGGAATCCTTTCCCCATTGCTTGTTTTTCTCAGGTTTGTCAAAGATCCAAACACCGCAAACACCGCATATTCTCACTCATAGGTGGGAATTGAACAATGAGATCACATGGACACAGGAAGGGGAATATCACACTCTGGGGACTGTTGTGGGGTGGGGGGAGGGGGGAGGGATAGCATTGGGAGATATACCTAATGCTAGATGACGAGTTAGTGGGTGCTGCGCACCAGCATGGCACATGTATACATATGTAACTAACCTGCACAATGTGCACATGTACCCTAAAACTTAAAGTATAATAAAAAATAAATAATAAATAAATAAATTAAAAAAAAGTTTTAAACAACACATTCAAAAGAAATAAAAATACATAAAAATAAAATTTTAATTAAACTATTTAGCCTGTAAGAACAGTTAATGACACAGCTTGCATAGTGTTTCTAATTTTACTTTTGCTTTGCTAGAGTTTCTGTGTTTCTGCAGGTTTAAAATGCAAATGTACTAAATGTGCACTTTAAAACAACTTTATCTTTCTTAAGTCTTGAAACTTTATGCCATATTTTTATATTGAAATCACCAAGTTATAACTTTTTTCTAAAAAAAAATCCTAAATATTACCTCCTTTAGGAGTAGTCAGTAGCTCTTTGGCAGTATCAGATGCCTAAGGGAAATGATTTTCCCTTTGAAAGACTACGTAGAGATTAATGCTTGCCATTTCATAGCTCATTATCTTGTAATGGTTCCCTCTAAAGGCATGAAATGTCCAGAGGTTCATATGAATACTTTTAAAATAAGGTGCTGTGCACAGAGAACATTCGTTATGGTATTTTTCTTTGAAAGATTCCTGATTTCAAAATAAATGCCTTGCCTTATAAAAATGAAAGCATCTGTGTTGCTGGAAATTATTATCTTCCAATAATAGTTAAACAAAACATCATTTTTTTCAAGGACAATAGATCCAGTTAATCTCAGAATAGCAATTTTAAAGGCTTGTGTAGTGGATGAACCATTTTACATGGGTTAATTTTTTTGAAAACAAAAGCTTGTATTTCTAAGGGTAAAAAAGCTTTATTTTAATTTTCCAGTTCTGCAGGAAATATTTCCAAAAATATTTTACACTATACTCTTTAAGTAGAATATGCTTGATTTATTAATTCAGGGACTAGTCAAGTATTTTGGACTGCTAACCTTTACAGTAAATGATCACACTGAACTTTTTACATTTTTAAGGTTTATTTTCATGATTTTTTTTTCTTTTCCCACTTTATCTGAATACAACCTATCAGAACTAGAACTAGTTAGTACACTTAGTTCTAGCAACCACTTTACATTTTCTAAATACTTTCCTGCTCTTAAACTGTAAAACAAATGTGATAGATTTTTTCTGAAATAGTGATAAATAGAGAATACTAGGGGATTCTGCTGTTAATAAATTGCATGTTTGTTTATTAATAAAGTTAGTGACATTTCCTAAGGTAGTTCAAAGGTCTTTTCATTTGCATCTTATTGACTGTTTCCTGAGGGGTTGACATTTTTGAGTACATGGATTCTGGATACTAGTTGTCTGACTCCTTTTTTGAGAGAGTTTATTTTCCTAATGTAAGAACATAACAAACTTGTCATATACCTGGAGAAGTAAAGCAATGTCTACTATGTCATTTTATTGATGATTTATTCACAAATCTCTCTGGGAGAAAAAAGTAAAAAACAAAATAAAACATAAAGCCAGCAACAACAATCTAAGCATGTACATAGCATGTGAAGATCAATGGGCTAAAATTGACATTTATGAAGCTGGGTCAGGCATGGTTCCCATCATTAAGGATATTACACCAATGGGAGATGTTAATGTAAACATAATTCCAAATATAATATGCTAAGTGCTATGAAAAAGATGCATATGGGTTAGCATGAAACCTTTGAAGAGACATAATCTAACTGCCTGGAAGGGTCAGGAAAGACTTCAAAAAGATAGTGTCATTTTAGTTAGGTCTAGGCCACTAAAAGAAAAGCATTGTAGGCAGAGGTAATTGTGTGAGCTGGGTGAGCGAAAACCAGAAGGCAAGGAAGAATATACTTGTTTGAGAAACAGTGCTCTTGTGAAGGCTTGTTGGACAACAAAGTAGATGGTGAGGCTGCAGGACAGGTTTGAGTTAAACTTGAAAAGACACAGGCTCTTCTTCACCTGCTGGTTTCAGTGTGTCTCTAGATCAGGATCTTGAGATAATGATCCATTTTTTTTCTTAGAGTATAAGACTGTTATCTGTAATTGTCACAGTAATGTCTTTCTTTTTATTTTTCAAAAATAACTTGGAGTCCTTTGATTCCCAAATTTACCAAAATAGATAAAATATTTAAACCTTTTTTATATCACTGTTTCCCAATGTTTGCTCCACACAAACCCGCTGTGTGTTCATCGGAATTACATTTTAAAACCGTAATTCATTTCATTTCCAAATATTTCACTTACAAATATTTGATTTACAAAAATTTCATTTAGAAATATTTATAGTCAAATTATATGCCAATCATTGTTTGGTGCTAGAGATTGAGTAGTGAAAAAACAAAGTCCTTGCCCCCGCAGATTTTGTATTCTATCTAGAAGGAGACAAATAAAGCACATGAACCAATTAAAAATGAGTATGTAATATGTTGATTAGAAATAAGTGCTGCAAAAAATAAGGATTAAAAATAGAAAATTGATGACAGTTATAGTAGGAAGGGAAATCAGAAAAGCCCTCTGTGAGGAGGTAGTATGTAAACAAAGACTTGAATAAAGAGGGACATAGGTCTACACATCAGTGATTTTTCCTATATAATTCAAGAATAAATCACAGATTTTCTGCCCGTTTACTCCTAAATATTTCATTGTACATTGCTTACAAAGAACATTCTTTTACTTAATCAAATTTATCATAATCAGAAAATGTGATATTGATGTAATACTATTGTCTACATTATGGTGTATATTTGAATTTAGTGAATTGTAACAATAATGACCGTTACAATTGTTTTTTCCCCAACTTAGGATCTAATCTATGATCAGGTATTTCATTTAGTTGTCATGTCTCTTTATTGCCCTTTAATCTAAAAAACGTTGTACTGCCTTCTACTATCTTCTTATCCTTGTCGTTTTTTAAAGAGTATAGGTCAGTTATTTTATACAATGTATCCAATTTTTATTTATTTGCTGCTTCTTCATGATTAGATTCAAATTGTACATTCTTGGCAGAAATATACTGCAAACATGATGTGTCTTCTCAGTACATCACATTAAAAAGCATATTATCTTGCTTTGTTCCAATATTTTTGATATTAATTTTGATCAGTTCATTAGATGGTATTCACCCCTTTTTCCAATGGCAAAGTTCCTATTTTTCCCCTGAAAACTAATTATTTGTGGGCGGATTGAAACTATTTCAATATCCCATGTCTAATAAAAATTTTACCACTGCAATATATGATTTTCTAACTCCATCATTCTTTCTATATATATTAGTTCACCTTCCACAGTGTTAAGGAAGATATTTTGTTGCTTCATTCATTCATTTGCATCAGTATTAAATTATGAATTTCTATTTTTTTCAACAAGTTATAATGCATGACTATAATTATTTAATTTGATATTCAAAATATCTCAAATTTGGCTGGGGGAACTATTTAAGGACTTCTTTTATTCTTTTCTTCCTTTTTGATTTTTTAATTAACAAATAAAAATTGTATATATTTATGGTGTGCAACATGATGTTTTGAAATAGGTATGCATTGTGGAACGGCTAAATCAAGCTAATTTACATACATTACTTGACTTTTTTTTTGTAGCGAGATCACTTAAAATCTGTTATATTAGCAACTTTATTGTGTAAAATACGTTGCTATTATCTACACCACCATGCCCTGCAATAGATCTCTTGAACTTATTCCTTTTGTCTAGCTGAAATTTTGTATCATTTGACTAACATTTCCCCAAACTACCACCCCAATTCCCCCAGCCCCAGGTAAACACCATTTTTCTACTCAATGCTTTTATGATTTCACCTTTTTAAGATTTCACATAAAAGTGACATCATGTGGTATTTGTCTTTCTGTGCTTGGCATGTTTCATTTAACACAATGTCCTCCAGAATTATTCAGATTTTCTAATTGAACTTGTGTCAGATTTCATAACCTGAACTTGAAAAATGGCTTTTACTTAAATCATTGACTACTGTGCTATCCTATAGTTGTTTAAAATCGTTCTTTCTTATTTTTTGATGTTTGCAACGATCTATAGTGTTATCCTCTCTTAATTCCTGTTATTGATATTCCTTGGGTATTGATATTGATTTTCTCTTTCTTTCTTGATTTGTTTTACTAATGGCTTATCAATTTTACTAGTCTTTTTAAAGGGTAAACCACTGGCTTTGTTAAAATTTTTTACTGTTTGCCCATTCCCTATTTCACTGATTTCTGTCCTTCATTATTGTCTTTTTTTTAACTTATTTTGGGTTTATTTGCACATCTTTCCCTAACTTCTTATGGTGCAACCTAAGTCCTATATTTAAAACATGTTTTTTCCGATTATAAAAATATAAATTCCCTTTTCAGCATTGCAACTTTCACTTCCAGCTATGCTGTGCTACAGGAAATACCTTCAGGCAAAAAGTCACGTACATATGATTCTTCCATAGTTCCCTTCTTTCAAGAGTTGACTACTTCTGATTTTCTGCCAAATTTTGTTCATTATTCAGTGTCTTCAAATAGTTGAGTTAGGACATTGACTGTTTTAGTCCATTCAGGCTGTTATATTAAAAAAAAGATCACAAATTGAGTAGCTTGTAAAAAAACAAATTTATTCTCACAGTTCCGACATTTGGAAAGGTCAAGACATTAGCAGAATAGTGTCTGGTAAGGGCCCACTTCCTTCACAGACATATCTTTTCACTGTAACCTCATATGACTGAAGAGGCTAGCTAGCTCTCTCTCACTATTTTTATAAGGATGCTAAGCCCAATCATGAGGGCTCCAAGCAACCTCAGAACCTACTCACTTCCCAAAAGGCCCCACCTCCTAACACCATCACATCAGGGGTTAGGATTTCAACATATATATTTGTGGGGGACATAAACATTCAGACTGTAGCAATGACATTGTATAATTTATATTTTAAAAGACCTATGTTGTCTTTTCTATAGAATATAGATTGCATTAAGGATAAATGTGCAAACAAAAATATTAGTAGGATGCCAATAGCAGTAGTTCAGGCAAATAGCGATTGATCAAGGTAATAGCAAAATCATCTAATATAGAAAGTATTTTGACTGTAGAGCTGAAATTGTATACTAATTAATTGGATATCAGTTATTAGAGGTTTTACAGAATCAAAGATGAACCCCTAATTTTTGTTCTTTTATAAAAATCTCAACATTATAATGAAGTGTGATGACATAAAGTATTCTGAACACTGTGGGATTGGAGGGAGAAACAGAGTTTGGGGGTTTAACAGTATGTCAGTTTACATATACGATTGAGATGTCTATTAAATATTCCAGTCTTGATTATAGGAGAATTGTTGGCACTGTGTATATAAATGTAGGTCTAATATATATATATATTTTTTAATTCTTTTTTTTGGACAGAGTCTTGCTCAGGCATGGTCTCAGCTCACTGCAACTTCTGCCTCCCAGGTTCAAGCGATTCTCGTGCCTCAGCCACCTGAGTAGCTGGGATTATAGGCATGAGCCACCACACCCGACTGATTTTTGTATTTTTAGTAGAGACAGGGTTTTGCCATGTTGCCTTGCCTAGGCTGGTCTTGAATTATTGGCCTCAAGAGATCCATCCACTTCAGCCTCCCGAAGTGCTGGGGTTACTGGTGTGAGCCATCACACCTGGCCTAATATGCTTTTTAACATGTAGAATTCATTGAGATCACCTGAAGATGGATGTAAATGGAGTATAGATGAAGATGAAGAAGAGTCCATTTTAATAGTTTAGGAAGAGGCGAATGATCCACCTAATAAGACTGAAAAGGATCTGCCACTGAGGGAGGAGGAAAGTAGAAAGAACTGTGTCCCTGACACCAAGAAAAAAATTTTTCCAGTAAGGGACTGATGAAGTTTACTAATGATTAGAATTATATGTACAATCAACATATATAAATTAAACATATCTGGGGAAGTATATTAAACATAAACAATAAACTTTCTTACTGCCAGGTGGATAGAATGTACGGTAGTGCCCAAACTATTTGACCATGCAATTTTTATGCAATAAGGTTATCATACAAAAATATTATTCCATGGAACAATCTTGTGGAAAATCCCATTTTGAGTCACAATGAGAATTATCAAGCTCTCTGAGTGCTAGAAGTTTGGGGTCTACAAAGTTAGTATCATTTATATTTCAGAAACTTCTTAATATTTGAAGTTTTAAATATAACAAAATTACTATAAAGTCTTTCATTCTTTTTTAACTTTTTAAAACTTCTTTTGAGCTGTGCAATTTAAAAGACTTGAAATTAGTAGAAGAATTTCACAGTTGTCAATTTATTTGGTGCTAGGGGCCAATTCAATTAGCTAGGAACGTATTTTCAAATTGTTACCAATTGGATCAATGGAGTATGACAGCTTTCCCCTTCATTTCTGTTTCTAGGGACAAGATGTTGAAAGAAACATTCTGCAAGACTAATTACTTTTTAGAAGATAGGACGTTTTTCCTCTTCTTTTTAAACATTACTAGGGAAAAGGGATTTATTTTTAATTTACAAAGAAGGGCTACTGATTACATTAAACAGGGACACAATGTGAACTCTTTCTATGCAAGCTGCAAGCAGAGTTCTTTGGTTCAGGTGGATTCCAGCCAAGCTTCAATTCTTTTTCTGTTTTCATTCTTTTATTTTAAGTTCAGGGATACATGTACAGTATGTGCAGGTTTGTTACATAGTTAAACATGTGCCATGGTGATTAGCTGTACAGATCATCCCATCACCTAGATATTAAGCCCAGTCTCCATTAGCTATTCTTTCTGAATACTCTCCCTGCTCCTATCCCCCACCCTCCCACAGGCCCGAGTGTGTGGTGTTCCCCATCGTGTGTCCATGTGTCCATTATTCAGCTACCACTTATAAGGGAGAACATGCAGTATTTGATTTTCTGTTCTTATAATAGTGTGCTGAGGATACTGGCTTCTACCTGCATTCATGTTCCTTTTTAGGAAACAACCTCATTCCTCTTTACGGCTACCTAGTATTTCATGGTGTACCACATTTTCTTTATCCAGTCTATGATTGATGGGCATTTGGGTTGATTCCATGTCTTTGCTATTGTGAATACTGCTGCAAGGAACATATATGTGCATGTATCTTTATAATACAATGATTTCTATTCCTTTGGGTATAGACCCAGTAATGGAATTGCTGGATCAAATGGTATTTCTGCCTCTAGGTCTTTGAGGAATCACCACACAGTCTTCCACAATGGTTGAACTAATTTACACCCCCCAAGAAGAGTGTAAAAGTGTTCTTTTTTCTCCACAACCTCACCAGGATCTGTTGTTTTTCTGACTTTTTAATAATAGCCATTCTGACTGGTATGAGATGGTATCTCATGTGGTTTTTATTTGCATTTCTCTAATGATCAGTGATGCTGAGTTTTTTTTTTTCATATATTTGTTGGCCACATGTATGTCTTCTTTTGAGAAGTGTCTGTTCATGTCTTTTGCTCACTTTTTGATGGAGTTTGCTTTTTTTCTTTAAATTTGTTTAAGTTCTTTGTAGATGTGGGATATTAGACCTTTGTCAGATGGGTAGATTGCAAAAATTTTATCCCATTTTGTAGGCTGTTTACTCTGATGATAGTTTCTTTTGCTGTGCAGAAGCTCTCTAATTTAATTAGATTCCATTTGTCAATTTTTGCTTTTGTTGCAATTGCTTTTGGCATCTTCATCATAAATTCTTTGCCTGTGCCTATGTCCCGAATGATATTGCCTATATTTTCTTCTGGGTTTTTTATAGTTTGGGGTTTTACATTTAAGTCTTTATTCCGTTTGAGTTGATTTTTGTGTATGGTATAAGGAAGGGGACCAGTTTCAGTCTTCTGCATATGGCTAGCTAGTTATTGCAGCACCATTTATTAAATAGGGAATCCTTTACCCATTGCTTGTTTTTGAAAGGTTTGCTGAAGATCAGATGGTTGTAGGTGTGTGGTCTTATTTTTGGTTTCTCTATTCTGTTCCATTGGTCTATGAGTATGTTCTTGCACCAGTACCATGCTGTTTTGGTTACTGTAGCCTTGTAGTAGAGTTTGAAGTTGGGTAGCGTGATACATTCAGCTTTGTTCTTTTTGCTTAGGATTGTCTTGGCTATTCAGGCTCTTTTTCAGTTCCATATGAATTTTAAAATAGGTTTTTTCTAATTCTGTGCAGAATGTCAATGGTAGATTAATGGAAATAGCATTGAATCTATCAATTGCTTTGAGCAATAAGGTGATTTTAATGATATAGATTCTTTCTATCCATGAGAATGGAATGTTTTTCCATTTGTTTGGGTCACCTCTGATTTCTTTGAGCACTGGTTTTAGTTCTTCTTGAAGAGATCTCTCACCTCCCTGGTTAGCTGTATTCCTAGGTTTCCTAGGTATTTTATTCTTTTTGTGGCAATTGAGAATGGGAGTTCATTCCTGATTTGGCTCTCAAATTGACTGTTGTTGGTGTATAGGAATGCTCATAATTTTTGCACATTGCTTTTGTATCCTGAGACTGCTGAAGTTGCTTATCACCTTAAGAAGCTTTTGGGCTGAGACATGGGGTCTTGTAGATTTAGGATCATATAATTTGCAAACAAAGAGTTTAACTTTCTCTCTTCCTATTAGAATGTTTTATTTCTTTCTCTTGCCTGATTGCCCTGGCCAGAACTTTCTTTTTTTTTTTTTTGAGACGGAGTCTCGCCCTGTCGCCCAGGCTGGAGTGCAGTGGCGCGATCTCGGCTCGCTGCAAGCTCTGCCTCCTGGGTTCACTCCTGCCTCAGCCTCCCCAGTAGCTGGGACTACTGGCACCCGCCACCACGCCTGGCTATTTTTAGTAGAGATGGGGTTTCACCGTGTTAGCCAGGATGGTCTCGATCTCTTGACTTCGTGATCCACCCGCCTCGGCCTCCCAAAGTGCTGGGATTACAGGCTTGAGCCACCGCGCCCGGCCTGCCCTGGCTAGAACTTTCAATACTATGTTGAATAAGAGTGGTGAGAGAGGGAATCCTTGTCTTGTGCTGGTTTTCAAGTGGAATGCTTCCAGCTTTTTGCTCATTCAGATGTTATTGGCTGTGGGTTTGTCATATATGGCTGTTAATATTTTGAGGTATGTGCCTTCAATACTTAGTTTACTAAGAGTTTTTAACATGAGGGAATGTTGAATTTTACTGAAGGCATTTTCTGCATCTATTGAGATAATCATGTGTTTTTTGTCTTCTATTTATGTGATGAATCGTATTTATTGAATTGTGCATGTTCAACAACCTTACATCCAGGGATGAAGCCTACTTGATCATGGTGGATATCTTTTTGATATTCTGCTGGATTTGATTTACCAGCTCTTCGCTGAAGATTTTTGCATTGATGTTCATCAAGAATATTAGCCCGAAGTTTTTGTTTTGTTTTTTTGTTTTGTTTTGTTGTATCTCTGCCATGTTTTGTTATCAGGATGATGCTGGCCTGATAGTATGAGTTAGGGGGGAGTCCCTCCTTTTCATTTTGGAATAGTTTGAGTAGGAATTGTACCAGTTCTTCTTTGTACCTCTGGATGTATTCAGCTGTGAATCTGTCTGGTCCTGGGCTTGTTTTGGTTGGTAGGCTATTTATTATTGCCTCAATTGACTCTTGGTAAATAATGAAATTAAGGCAGGAATCAAGAAGTTCTTTGAAACTAATGAGAACAAAGATACTAGGTACCAGAATCTCTGGGATGCAGCTAAAGCATTGTTAAGATGGAAATTTATAGTACTAAATTCCCACATCAACAAGCTAGAAAGATCTCAACTTAACGACTTAACATCACAACTAAAAGAACTAGAGAGCCAAGAGCAACAAACCCCAAAGCTAGCAGAAGATAAGAAATAACCAAGATCATCCCAGCACTTTGGGAGGCCGAGGCGGGCAGATCACGAGGTCAGGAGATCGAGACCATCCTGGCTAACATGGTGAAACCCCATCTCTACTAAAAATCCAAAATATTAGCCAGGCGTGGTGGCCGGCTCCTGTAGTCCCAGCTACTCAGGAGGCTGAGGCAGGAGAATGGCTTGAACCCGGGAGGCAGAGCTTGCAGTGAGCAGAGATCCCACCACTGCACTCCAGCCTGGGCCACAGAGTAAGACTCCATCTCAAAAAAAAAAAAAAAAAAAAAAAAAAGAAAGAAAGAAAGAAATAACCAAGATCAGAGCTGAACTGAAGGAAATGGAGACATAAAAAACCCTTCAAAAAATCAACAAATCCAGGAGCTGGTTTTTTGAAAAAACTAATATAATAGATAGACCACTAATTGGACTAATAAAGAAGAAAAGAGAGAAGATTCAAACAAACACAGAATAAGAGGGATTCACCAAAGGCCCTGCAGAAATACAAAGAGCCATCAGAGAATACTATAAACACTTCTATGCACATAAACTAAAAAACCTAGAAGAAATAGATACATTCCTGGACACATGCACCCTCCCAAGACTGAATCATTTTTTTTCTCTTCTGTTTTCAGAGAAAGCCTGTGACTAATACTACCTTAACATTGCTTGCTCCAGGCTGAAGCCTCCTAGTAACTCACATAACAATATTTCCCCAAATTGCCATGATTTACTTAGCATATGTTAACATATTAGCAGCACTAAGTCTAAGTGTTACTTTCCTGCCTTTGTTTTTTGAACATCAGTCAATTTTGTAAAATGTGTTTAATTGTATTATTGATTATTATTTTCCTTTTTCAATTTGAGTTCTTGGGATGGCAGTTGAGCACTGGGGAGGAATACCCTCCCTTTCCTTAGAATTTAAAAATCATTTTGTGGCAGCTACAATATTCTCTATAACATGAGGGACACAACTTGTCCCAGAAATATTTCTAAGGGAAATATTGTCTGTGATAATATTTATCACTGATAATTTCTTAAGTGCCTAAATTCTAAGTTTATTACTGGTTATAGAATAATTGAAACCACTGTAAAAGATTAACATATCTTCAAAAATGTTCTAGTTAATTTTAGGGATCTTATAGGTCCTATTAGCACAATCATTCCTAGTCATTTTTAGCAAAAGTATGTGTAAAAATATATCTAGAGTAGAACATACATTATTCAGATGACAGACACACTAAAAGCCCAGACTTCACCATTAAGCAGTATAGCCATGTAACAAAATAGCATGTATATCTCTTACATTTATACAGATTTAGAAAAAAGGATCCAAAGTTGGCCACCCTGGGTAGAAAAAAAAGAACAGGTATGAAAAATGGAATCAGAATGTAGACTTCATTTTTTTCTACTTCCCTAAAGATAATTTGATCTAGGCTTCAGGTTTTGTGTTCTCCAAATGAAAACCAGACATCATTTTGGCATTTTGGCCCCCAAACCAGCCTGGAATAGGGACCCACTCAATAAAAAACTCATTCCCCAAAGAGACAACAATAAAAATCTGCTCAGATGCAGAAATTTATTAGAAGAGACATGTTTTGGGCCAGGTGCGGTGGCTCATGCCTGCATTCCCAGCACTTTGGGAGGCCTAGGCAGGCAGATCACGAGGTCAGGAGTTCGAAACCAGCCTGACCAACATAGTGAAATCCTGTCTCTACTAAAAATACAGAAAAATTAGCTGGGCGTGATGGCGGGCACCTGTAATTCCAGCTACTTGGGTGGCTGAGGCAGGAGAATTGCCTGAACCTGGGAGGCAGAGGTTGCAGTGAGCCGAGATCACACCATTGGACTCCAGCCTGGGCGACAAGAGTGAAACTCTGTCTCAAAAATAAAATAAAATAAAAAGAAGAGATGTGTTTTAGAATTGGAAAAAAATTAAGGGCTGTAAGTTTTTGAGGACTTTAGATATCAATAAACACCTCTTTAAATCTTCATAAATTTGTGATTATTCTATTAAGCAACCTAAATACAATAGTCATTTATTTTTAAATGACTATTAAAGATATATTATCAATTTAATAACAGTTTTGTAGGGTAAAAATAAGCACTAAATTTTATGCATTCACCAAAGAAAAGCCTAATCCTGATTTTAGAAATGTTAAATATGAGGAAAAAGTGCAACTTAGAATTGAGGAGATACTGTATAACACATCATGGCTATTTTCAAAAGCTACGTAAGAGATTTTATAGACCCCTTTAAAATTGTGCCATTTTTGCG
Source organism: Homo sapiens (assembly GCF_000001405.40). NCBI lineage: Eukaryota > Metazoa > Chordata > Mammalia > Primates > Hominidae > Homo > Homo sapiens. The sequence continues at coordinate 187,898,583 of NC_000002.12, read as the reverse complement.
TATATGTATTTTTAAATTTTAGCTTAAAATATTCCATTTATAGACTTGTAAATCCACTACATTATTTGCCCCAAGAAGATGCCTGCTCAACAAAGCAAGGCCATAAATTGTCATTTATATCCTAAGGAATTAAATTCAGAGGCATTACCTATTTTACAAAGCCCAGGAATTCATCTCTCCCATTCATAGGTCAACACTTGGCTTATATATGAAATTTCATTATATGAGTATTTAGTTGTACCCTGAGTGTGTGTAATTCGTTATTTGGAGGTGTTCTCTGCTTAAACTGAGTGTGTACCTGTAGGCATTGAGGAAGCATAATGCACATTGAAGTATTATCCCTCCTATGTTATAGATGTTCTTTTCTTTTCTTTGTTGTTTTTTTTTTTTTTTTGAGACAGAGTCTTGCCCTGTTGCCCAAGCAAGAGTGCAATGGCACGATCCCAGCTCACTGCAACCTCTGTCTCCCATGTTCAAGTGATTCTCCTGCCTCGGCCTCCCAAGTAGCTGGGATTACAGGCACGTGCCACCACACCTGGCTAATTTTTTGTATCTTTAGTAGAGACGGGGTTTCACCATATTGGCCAGGCTGGTCTTGATCTCCTGACCTCGTGATCTGCCCGCCTCGGCCTCCCAAAGTGCTGAGATTACAGGCGTGAGCCACCTCACCTGGCCAGATGTTCTTTTCTTATCACTAACAAAAGATTAAATATGGCTAGCATAGTATTGCTTTAAACTGTGATGAAATATGACTTTATAGCACTTCTTTGCCTTATGTCAACATATTTGTTTCCTTTTTATGTTTTATTTGTCCAACCTGATAAATTTAGTTTTGAATAAGTGTATAGCTTTATTATTATCAGTAAGATTCTTTTTTGATTGGGAAACTTAAAAAATGAGTTTTGTGTGACTCATTCATGGGAGATGATATAAAAGATTCAGAGGTTTGAGATACTGAGATAAGACACTTAGTGTCACAATCAAATTTGAAATCATATATGGAACAATATTGTTTCTATGGAGCAGAACAAATTTACAGCATATGAAATTGTGATAACTTCATAGAAAAGGTACTTTTTGATAAGATTTTCATTGCAGCAGATATATCTTTTGATATATACACTTAAGTATACAAGAAATGTTTCCTTTCTTTTTTTTATTATTAAATTAAATTTGATTCAGGCACATTCTCCTGGGAAGGAAATTCAATCTTGTTATCTTGGATAAGGAAGGTTAGGATCTTTTTGTAAAGAAGTGCCATGTGTTGTGCTTGGTAATTTTATGTGTCAACTTGTTGATCCATCAGATGCCCTGATATTTGGTTAAACATTGTTTTAGGCATGTCTGTAAGGGCATTTCTGGATGAGATTAACATTTGAATTTATAGACTGAGTAAAGCAGTTTGTCCTCCCAGATGTGGGTTTGCCTCATAAACCACTGGAGGCCTGAATAAAACAAGAAACAGAGAATTTACTCTCTTTGCCTGTTTTCAGGCTGGGATATCAATCTTCTGCCCTCAGCCATCCTGGCTCTCAGGGCTTTAGATACAGACTGGAATCTATACCATCGGCTCTCTAGCTCTCGGGCATTTCAGTTACACAGCCAGCTTTTCTGGGTCTCCAGCTGAGGGGAGATTATGGTACTCTCAGCCTCCACAATCATGCGAATCAATGCCTTATAATAATTTGATCAATCTCTCTCTAGATAGAGAGATAGATAGATCCCACTGGTTCTCTTTCTCTGGAGAAATCTGGGTGATAATATGTGGAAAATTCCCTTTCTTCTTCATTCACATCATCATATTCACTAATCAGAACCTCGTTTCTCAAGTTTGTGTGGCCTTTTGAACACACGTATTTTAGTTCTTCCTGGGATAAGAACTTTTGGCAATGTAAAAAACATCAGTACCTAAAATCCAGCCTGCATGGATGCATCATGTTGCCATTTTTCTCTGAGGATTTGATAATCTCCTGGGGCTAGGCTTGCAGAAAAATCCAGAATGGCACATTTAATTTGAATTTCAGATAAATGGCATGATTTTTAAAGTATAATTATTTGAAAATATTGCATAGGACATACTTATATGAAAAATATATTCATTATTGGAATTTCAAATTTCACTGGATATCCTGCTTTTTTATTTGTTAAGTCTGGCAACCCTACCAGGGACACAGTCAGTGAGTGGTACAGATCCACATTATGCTCAGAATCAAGAATGCTGTCTTCTTCCTGAGACTGAGGAAGAAACCAGCCCCTCTCTATCTCTGCTTATTCCTCCCTGGTAATTGTTCCCTTCTGAAACATAGAACTAATGCTTCTAGATCAACTAAGGCCAAGGCTGACAACTGCAAATGCCTACGTATTCCATAATGGGACATACCTGCCTATCATAGGCTTAGAGGTGACTGTGGTAAACTATTGTAAGTTAGCGAACAGGGTCAGCTGATATTCAGCTCCAGCCAGATGCATCCTGAGACTATGGGCCTAGTGTCACTAAAATTTTTAAAATCTAAATCCAGACTTTTTTTTTTGAGAAGGAATTTTGCTCTTGTTGCCTAGGCTGGAGTGCAGTGGCGCAATCTTGGCTTACCGCAACCTCCGCCTCCCGGGTTCAAGCGATTCGCCTGCCTCAGCCTCCCAAGTAGCTGAGATCACAGGCAAGTGCCACCACGCCCAGCTAATTTTGTATTTTTAGTAGAGACGGGGTTTCTCCATGTTGGTCAGGCTGGTCTTGAACTCCCAACCTCAGGTGATCTGCCCACTTTGGCCTCCTAAAGTGCAGGGATTACAGGAATGAGCCACCGTGCCTGTTTTTTTTTTTTTTTTTTTTTAGAGAGACAGAATTTTGTCCTGTCACTCAGGCTGAAGTGCAGTGCCATGATTATAGCTCATTGCAACCTCTAACACCTGGGTCGAAGCTATTACCTCACCTCAGCCTCTGGAGTAACTGGGACTACAGGAGCACCACCATGCCCGGTTAATTTTTTAATTTTATTGTATGGACAGGATCTGGCTGTGTTGCTCAGGCTGGTCTGGAACTCGTGGCCTCAAATGATCCTCCCACCTCAGCCTCCCAAAGCACTGCGATTACAGGCATAAACCGCCATGTCCAGCCCCAAATTCAGATTTTTATGGGGAGCCTCCTAATATTTAACACACATTAAAATAATTTTACAAAGTAAAGTAAATAATCAGCAAGTTTTACTCAGCCCAATGACCTTCAGTGGAGACTTCTACTAAAGGTGGAAGTCAACATTGCTTCCAACCTGCCTCAGCTTTTAATTCTGTTACAGACACCTCACCTGAGTTGGGAAAGCCCAGAGTGCTATTATAAAACACAACATAAATAAAAACAATACATAACACTGTTTGAGAGCTTTTGTGTAACAGTGTGATGAAGTATCATATTGAGAATTCAATGACTTGAAAAGCTGAAAGTGATTCATGCAGCATTAAAGTCTTATTTGAAACTTGGTTAGTACTTGTTTTATAGACCTAGAGGAAATCAATAGTGTTGTGATGTTCAGGTAATGTCCCAGAAAAGTCTGTCTACTCTGAAAAATTTTCAAGCTCGTGAAACAAAGATAAAATGAAAATATGTTACCTTAGTCTTTATATTTTATACGTGTGATAATCTTTTTGATTTAATAAGATGCAATTTTCTGTTTTCAGTTATGTCTTATGACAGAATTCAATTAAAGTTTCTTATATTTATGAATGTGTTTTGAAGACCTCTTTTTCATATAAAAAATTTTGTTTGCCTAGCAATGTTAGTTTCTGAGTGAAATTCTGACTGTGTCACAGTTTCCTCTGGTATATAGTTAGTAACTGTGTGACAAATAGTAAAAATGGCTTTCTTTTATATGCAAATGGGACAAATCTAATTTACTACATAGATTCTAATCATCACTTTTGGCAATTGTACTTAATGAGTGAATATTTCTAAACAGTCATCTTATTTTTCCATTTTAAGTTAAAGAATATTTTAGCATCTAGGTGAATTATTTTGAAGAAATGGAGAATGACCAGTTAAATATTTATGCGTATTTAGAATCCTGCTTTGAAAGTTAATATTTCAAAAAGACCCCAACAACAGTGCAGAGTAAATAAATAGCACACACATTACAAAGTCAATTGACTTTTCTCTTCTTAAGCATGAGGTAAAGATTTACTTGAAAAAAATCAATATCTAGCAAACAGGATAATGGCTTTGCAACTTGTACAACCATGAGGTAAAAAAAACAATTACAAGTTTAAACTATAAAAGTGCAATTTGTTTTATTCGTATTTTTATTAAATGTCATTGGGTACACATTTTGTTTTTTGAGAGAGGTAAGTTAACAGGTCATTCCAATCTTCTGTTGATAAGTTAGAGGGGTTGTCTAGTGCCGTGGGAGGACAAAGGAGAGGCATCAAACACAAATGATTTAAACTTTGTGATGTAAACTACTTTTAATTTATCTGAAGAGAACATCTCTCTGGAGTGTGGATTATTGAAAATGCCATAAGAGATTTAGGAGAGACAGATAAAACGTGTAGGTCTGTGTCCATAGTACGAGTCAAGAATATATTTTATCATTCATGGTGGGAGACTTTCGTGAAAGGGATTACTATTAATATTTACACTGGGACTTCATAATTAACACGACATTGCCCAGGGAAAATAGGACATATGGTCACCCCATGGATATTCCATTCCTATTCAGAACCAGGAAAAATAATTAAATCATTTCTTACATGCCACATTTATTCTCTATTTTATAACAAAATGGTTAATTCAGAATTTGACATTTAAGCATTCCATTATTACCCATGGAATGTCACTTTCAGGAGTCATTGATATTATTTAATTTTAGTTAGAATATTAAACACTTGTAAGGTGACCAATAGGTTATTTCTAGCTCAAGATCAGGACATGGTTTTCTCATCCTCATCTTAGCAGACATTGACTGTCTAGAAGTCAATTTTTTTAGGTGCTACCTCTTGTTTTAGATGTTTACAAAGTGTAAGCTTATTCCTAGAGTGGTCTCCATTCAATATTAAGGTAACAGAAAAAGCAAATGCAGCCCAACTGTAATAGAAAAAGGACTATGTGGGCACTGAGTGACTAAGATAAATAAGTAAATAATACAAAAGTGTAATCTGAGTTAAGAAAAGACTCTGCTATCTGTTTATATATATCTCTGCTATTCGATACACCTAAACAAAGAAATTGTTTTATGTCTTTTTTTTTTATCTTTCTGGAACAAACAAATGTATCTGAAATATTTACTGTCCTACAAAAGGAATAGCCATTTATGAAACAAAATGTAGATTGGCAACAATGATAACAAAAATAAATAAATTGGCAGAAACACAACTATTCCATTATTCTTGACACTTGCTTACTATTGTTATATCTGGTATATTTAATAACAGATCATTAGACTTTAATGCTTAACTGCAAAAATGTGCATTTTTGTGCATTAAGAATTAAATGTGGGCAGGGCATGGTGGCTCACGCCTGTAATCCCAGCACTCTGGGAGGCCGAGGCAGGTGGATCACCTGAGGTCAGGGGTTTGAGAACAGCCTGGGCAACATGGTGAAACCCATCTCTACTAAAAATACAAAAATTAGCCAGACGTGGTGGTGGGTGCCTGTAATCCCAGCTACTCAGGAAACTGAGGCAGGAGAGTGGGTTGAATCCAGGAGGTGGAGGTTGCAGTGAGCCGAGACTGTGCCACTGCACTCCAGCCTGGGTGACAGAGCAAGACTCCATCTCAAAAAAAAAAAAAAAGAAATGTGAACATTGCCGGTGTTCAAACACAATAGAGCATTTTTACTTGATTTTGTATTAGAATAAATTAGTTTTGAATAGAATATATATAACAATCCTACTCAAATGGATTTTTTGGACACTTTTCATAGCATGTTAGGATTTATTTTAACATTCCATTTACATGTAAAATTGGTTGTAAGTAGCTTCTGTGTTAGTCGGTTTTCACTCTTGCTGATAGAGACATAGCCGAGACTGGGCAATTTATAAAGAAAAAGAGGTTTAATGGACTCACAGTTCCACAAGGCTGGGGAGGCTTCACAATCATGGTGGAAGGTGAAAGGCAAGTCTTATGGCAGTAGACAAGAGAGAGTGAGAGCCAAGTGAAAGAGGAAACCCCTTATAAAACCATCAGATCTTGTGAGACATATTCACTACCATGAGAACAATATAGGAAAAACCACCCCATGAATCAATTATCTCCCACTGGGTCCCTCCTACAACATGTGAGAGTTATGGGAGCTACAATTCAAGATGGGATTTGGGTGGGGACACAGAGCCAAATCATATCAGCTACTATTTAGTTGGAGGAAAAAGTGAATCACTGCAATTTGCTGTGACAGGCCTAAGGTCATTACAATGCACTTTCTTCTAATTCTTTACTACCAGATCCCAAGTGTATTAGTCTGTTTTCACACTGTTGATAAAGACATACTTGAGACTGGGTAATTTATCAGGAAAAAGGTTTTAATGGACTTACAGTTCCACATGACTGGGGAGGCCTCACAATCATGGTGGAAGGCAAGGAGGAGCAAGTCACGTGTTACATGGATGGCAGTAGGCAGAGAGCTTGTGCAGGGAATCTCTTCCTTACAGAACCATCAGATTTCATGAGAATTATTCATTCTCACGAGAACAGCATGGGAAATACCTGCCCCCATGATTCAGTTACCTCCCACCAGATCCTTCCCACAACAAGCGGGAATTCAAGATGAGATTTGGGTGGGGACACAGCCAAACCATATCATCAAACTTCTTGTAGAAATTATTTTAACCTTCTTGTAGACTTTTTAAAATCTATGTTTGTTTGAGATCACTTTTTTCATGAAGATTAACAAAATCTTGTTCAAAATATGAACAAAAGAAGTATTTATTATAAGATACAGATGAGAGTAAAAAAATTGAGAACCTTGAAAAATATATATATATATAATTTTACTAGTGTGAAAGGAAAATATCTTGGCTCCCCAAATCACTAAGCTAAAGGGAAAATTCAAGCTGGGAACTGCTTAGGGCAAACCTGCTACCCATTCTATTCAAAGTCAGCCCTCTGTTCACTTAATAAATGTATTTCTGATTGCCTCCTTTGGAAAGGCTAATCAGAAACTCAAAAGAATGCAACCGTGTGTCTCTCACCTACCTGTGACCTGGAAACCCCCTCCCTGCATGAGTTGTCCTACTTGGGTTGTCCTGCCTTTCCGAGGGAACAAATGTTCATTTTACATATGTTGATTGATGTCTCATGTCTCCCTAAAATGTATAAAACTAAGCTGTGCTCTGATCACCTTGGCCACATGTCATCAGGACCTTCTGAGGCTGTGTCTTGGGCAGGCATCCTCAACCTTGGCAAAATAAACTTTCTAAATTAACTAAGACCTGTCTCAAATTTTCAGGGTTTACACTAGAAAAGTGAATTTGTTGATGTTAAACATTAGGTAGGATTTAAATTCATTATTTTTATAAAAGTTTCCCAAAAGGGGCATTTAGCAAATACTCAAGGCTGATATGTACTGATAATATTTTCTACATGATCACAAAGCTAGGGAGATATTTCTGAGATCCTATTGAGGCAAGATAGAGACAGTCAAGGAAGTAACCATGTTCCCAGGATGTGAGACCATGGCAACCATACAGTAAACACAATAAGCCTCAGCATTTGCATTGTAGTCAAGCTCATTAAAGCAAAACGATCTCCAGTAGGGAATTTCCCCTGCAGAAAGCATGTGCGTTTTGTTTTTACCTGTCTTCAGACTAACCTTTGCTCTTTATATGATTAAAAAACACAGCCCAGGGTGGAGATTTCTGATGCTAATGAGACATCTGATGTATGAACAAGCATGTACAGCTACTGTGCATGTGCACCCAGAGGACCACCCAGAACATGCTTACTAGTAATACCTTTTTCACCCCTTATGAATAATTATGTAAGACTCCCATAAACGGAGTCTTCCTAGTGCCAGTCTTTGCTGTCTCATACTTATGAGCGGCCCACCCTGAATCCTCTCTGTCTCTCAGGGTGTACTGTTTATTCTGCAGTTAACTTTCAAAATATTATTTTTCCTTTGTAGTAAATTGTTCTATGCTGCACCTCTTTTGCTGTTTGTCTTTTGTTTAAATTCTTTTAAACTAAGAAGATGAGAACAAAGGTCTCACAACAGCCATCAACACTATAGTTCAGATATTTTCAATGGTTTAGCAGCTCTTGTGTTGCAACTTCTCAGTGTAAAATAAATCTAAGGACAAAATATTAATCATCCATTTATTTGAAAATATTTATTAGGCAACTAGTTTGATAAGTAATTTACAAATCAAGTGGTAGAGATTATAGATATATAAATATCTGCCTGGCATTTACAACATAGTTGAACATTCATGAAAGTTATAAAAGAAGTACAAGAATATTTATTGTGTTATGGTGAACTTTATATGTGAACGTGACAGAACTGCAATGTACCCATATATTTGGCTAAACGTTATTCTGCATGTGTCTGTGGGGATGTTTCTGAATTTCTGAATGAGATTAACATTCGAATGAGTAAAGCAGATTGCCTTTTCCACTGTTCTATTGAATGTATGACTTGAATCAAAAAAGGGTCAGAGAGAATTTTCTCTCTCTACCTGGCTGTTTTCAAGCCTAGGTATTGGTTTTCTGCATTTGGACTGAAACTGTCATCATCATCTTTCCTCATACCCAGGCCCTTAGACTCAGACTGTTACTACACCATCAGTTCTCCTCGGTCTTTAGTTTGCAGAAAGATTTGGGGACTTCTTAGCACTTCATCATCACATGAGTCAATTCATTATGATAAATAAATAAATAAACTATAAACCACTGATTCCGTTTCTCTGAAGAATTCTGATTTACATAGAGATATAATTTCTTATAATGTTAGAATTAAATCATCTGTATTTTTAAAAGTGTGAATTCTTATTCCTGAGCAAAATATTTTATTTCATTTTTAATGAACACAAAATAATTGTGCATATTTTTGAGGCATGTAGTGATGTTTAGATACATGTAATTTATGGTGATCAGATAAAGGTAATTAGCATATCTGTCATTTCAAACATTTATCCTTTTTTTGTTGTTGGGAACATTTCATATATTTCTTCTAGCTATTTGAATCTGTATATTTTATTTAACATAGTCATCCTATAGTACTGTACAATATAGTACAGTACTAAAATCTCCCTTTTGTGTGTGTGTGTGTGTGTGTGTGTGTGTGTGTGTGTGTGTGTGTGTGTGTTTAAAGTTTTCCTGGAGAGGAATTCTCACTGTTTTTGTTTTTCTGAAATCCTTTTCACTTACCTTCATTTTGGAAGGTTATCTTTATTGGGTACAGAGTTTTAGTTTGGCTGTTATTTTATTTGATTACTTGAAAGTAGACCTTCTATTATACTCGGACAATCATATTTGTCTCAGATTTTTCATTTCTTGTAGTCTTAGCCATCTTTTAAAAAGGTGGATTATTCATTTTAGCCAGGCTATCTAGTCATGTCTTTGGTCAAACATGTCTGTTCATGAACAAAAAAACAGGAGTAGAATTAGTATAAATGAGTAAAGTGAAATGATTACAGCTTGACTTTTTTTCTTATTTTCTGTTCTAAGTATCTACACTGAATAACACTAAATAAGGTCTTCAAATAATAAAAAAAGGAAAAATATATGTAATTTACTTATTTTATTTTAGAGACAAGGTCTTGCTGTGTTTCCCAGGATGACCTCAAACTCCTGGTCTCAAATGATCTGCCCTCCCATCTCAGCCTCCCAAGTAGCTGGGACTACAGGTGTGCACCACTGCACCTGGCTAAAATAATATACTTTCAGTTAATATATTCACAACTCGCTTTTTTCTTTTTTTGGTATGTGAAAGAAACTAATTTTTCTCTTAACAAGTAAAATGTGCTTGGGAAACTGTATAAATAGCAAAACTATATAAATAGCAACTTTTCCCCACCATTATGCTGGTCTTAATGTGAAATGCCTATAGTAAAATACCAAGCAGAAAAATTGAGTAGATTATTGCAAACAACTTAGCACTTTCATCATTGCAGTTGATACAAAAGTGAATCAAGAACTCTTAATTGTGGAAGACAAGAAATTGTCCTGTAGGTGAGTAGCAATGACTAATGGTGATATATATCTCGGGAAACAGACATTTTGAATTATTTCTATTTCCAGTTTTGTTAGGAAAATCTATTAAACCTCTTCCATAAGAGAGATCCTTTCAGACTACACAGCTGGTGTTTCAGCAGAAGCTGCTGTTAGTGAGTTTACAGTAAAGGAGAATACTCCTACTTAAACACTCCAGCATTCCCAAATCCAACTCGGACCATCCTGCTAGAAAATCTCTCCAGCAGAATACCCTATCTTAGTAAATGGCTATCACAGTGTTTTAGATGCTTAAGTAAAAGTAAAAAATCTTGGAGTCTAACTTGACTCTTTTCTTTTTCTTATGCTTTCCATCTAATGCATTAATTAATCATATCACCATGTGTCTTTATTGGATATTAGTGTTGAAGACCTTTGTGATATATTTTGTAGATTAGAATAAGTAAATCGTCTTTGCAGCTGGAGCCTGAATAGGAATCTTTTGTAATTTAGTATGATATCACTTGATGGTGTATTTAAATAATACTTTTCTTTTTCAGGGAGGTGAATTAGTTAATTTATTTTGCTAAAGGTTGCAATATCCATCTGCTAAATACATATAGAAGCCCTGACTGTTTATAATAAATGTGCAATTATATGTCATAGCCCATATAAAAAGTCTATGCTGTTCTGAAAACATTTTAATTGGTTCTTGTCTTAATTCAGAAAAATAACTTGGGATTTCCCAGAGCCATAAAAGTATTGGGTCTGGAATAAGCAATTTGTTTCTCAAATAAGACATATAGTTTAATTTCCCTCTGAATTTCAGCTTCATTAAAGCAAGTTCTCAATCTCTGAGATGTCTTATAATTATTGTTCAATTCATTTCATTTTTTTGTGCTTATCACTAACGGAAGTAACTTCTCATTTGCACTTACAATGTATTTATTTCACAGGATGTGAACAGTTTGATTTTGCATTGTCTTTAAGGTTTCTTAACTTTGGGTAGGTTACATTTTCTAGTGGACTGTATTTCACTTCTAAGACATGTAACATTCAAAGAAAAAATATCTACATTTTTGAAACCTTAAATTGAGAAAATTGTATTTCTTAATATGTAAAAAGAAAATTTGAAAGGTGTACAATAGTTCTATGATTAACATAATTGTGAAACAACCAACATGATACAAAAATTATTGGGTCTTGGTTTATTTGTTTAGAGGAGGAATGGGAACATGTACAAACTAGATGAGAAATTAATGCTTCTCTTCTTATACAGCATATGAAGATCATTAGTATATCACTATATGCCATTGCTATTGCCAGTGAAATTATATTTTATTGTCTGTGACCAAGAATACCACAATTAAAATGATAATTTTAAAGACAGGAATCTCAAATTCATAGATGATTTCTAAACTCAGATTACTTGTCTCCAAGCTGAAAATGTTTTAATGATCTTAGGAAAAAACTACGGCATTCCTTCAGAATATATGCAAAAGAACAACAAAATGAAAGTTATGGAAAGATGTTTGACACATGGACATGTCTATTGATTTCAAAATTCACTTAATAGATGCCACAAAGGCAGGGAATTAACAATCACAAAGGAGAAAAGAAAGAAAATATGTAACATAAAAAATATCCTGAGCTGAGAAAAGATGTGAACTTTTGAATTAAAAGTCCACACTGAATGCCAAGTGGGAATAATCATTTTTTAGATTTCCACCAAGACAAATTCGGATAAAATTTTAGAATTTTAGAATTTTAAGTAAAAAAGGGAAACTCTAAAATCATTTGTAGGGAACATAAAATACAGAAAATAGTGTATATATGTAATTTATATGTAAATACTATGCTATTATATATATTCTCTGTATATATCATATTTGTATTCATATTTGTATAATGTTTATATTTATCATCTATAAATTTGAGATCCTTGTCTTTAAAATTATTTTAACTGTGGTATTACTGGTCACAGGTCACTGCTGTATGTATCCTAGGGACTTGGTGCCCTGTGTCCCAGCCACTCTATCCATGGCTGAAAAGGGCCTAGGTACAGCTCAGGCTGTGGCTTCAGTGAATGTAAGCCCCAAGCCTTGGTAGCTTCCATGTGGTATTGAGCCTATGGGTGCACAGAAATCAAGAATTGAGGTTTGGGAACTTCCGCCTAGATTTCAGAGGATGTATTGAAATGCCTGGATGACCAGGTAGAAGCTTGCCTCAGGGGTGGGGCTCTCATGGAGAACCTCAGCTAGAGTAGTGCAGAAGGGAAATGTGAGATTGAAGCCCCCACACAGAATCCCCACTGGGGGTCACTGCCTGGTGGAGCTGGGAGAAGAGGGCCATAGTCCTCCAGACCCCAGAATGGTAGATACACCAACAGCTTGCACTGTGCACTTGGAAAAGCCACAGACGCCCAACACCAGCCCATGAAAGCAGCCAGGAGGGAGGCTGTACCCTGCAAAGCCACAGGGGCAGAGCTACCCAAAACTATGGGAACCCACATCTTGCATCAGTGTGACCTGGATGTGAGATATGGAGTTGAAGGAGATCATTTTGGAGCTTTAAGATTTGACTGCCACACAGGATTTTGGACTTGTTTGGGTCCTTTAGACCTTTTGTTTTGGCCAGTTTTTCTCATTTGGAATGGGTGTATTTATCCAATGCCTGTAGGTCTATTGTATCTAGGAAGTAAGTAGCTTTTGATTTTACGGACTCATAGGTGAAAGGGACTTGCCTTGTCTCAGATGAGACTTTGGACTGTGGACTTTTGAGTTAATGCTGAAATAAGTTAAGACTTTGGGGAACTGTTGGGAAGGCATGATTGGTTTTTAAATGTGAGGGCATGATATTTGGGAGGGGACGGGGCAGAAAGATAGGGTTTGGCTATGTCCCCACCCAAATTTCATCTTGAATTGCAGTTCACATAATTCCCACGTGTTGTGGGAGGGACCTGGTGGAAGATAATTGAATTATAGGGGAGTTTTCCCCATGCTTTCTCTTGGTAGTGAATAAGTTTCACAAGCTCTGATGGTTTTATAAAGGGAAACCCCTCTCACTTGGCTCTCATTTTCTCTTGTCTGCAACCATGTAAGACATGCCTTTAGCCTTTCATCATGATTGTGAGCCCTGTCCAGCCACCTGGAACTGTGAGTCCATTAAGACACCTTTTCTTCATAAATTCCCCAGTCTTGGATATGTAAATATTTACCAGCTGCATGCGCTCGGCTAATACAACTAATACATCTCCCACTCTCCTACACCCATTCCATCTACTACCACTTTTCTCACAGGAATGTTAATACCAAGTTTTCCTGGGGTGACAAACACTGTTGGGCTGGGTTCTGAAGAGCCAACTTTCTTGGCCAAGCTGAATAAGATGGGGAGACAGAATTATTTAAATATATTGGCCAGAAGCAAAATAGGACCACAAATTCACAAAGTAAAGAGAGTATCAGCAGGAACTACGTAGAACACCTGTGAAGGTCCAGTCTAATGAACATGAAAATGGTTGGTGTGTGTAAATCACCCTTTCGTTCAGTTGAGTATATGAGTAGGCATAGCTTAAATGATTGGAGGAGGTGTGGTTATCTCTTTAGTTTTCCATATTCTGTTACTTCTATCTGGAAATAATCTTCTTCTACATCTACTTGACCCATGCTTTTTATTGTAGCTTTGTTTTACGTTTTTTATCTCTTGTAACCATTTCCAAATCTTTCTGGAAATTTCCTTCAAGAGCACTGTTGTTCATACCCAGTTTTACTTCTGCTCCCATCATATTTTATTCATTCCTATACTATAGCACTTACTATACAATATTGTAGATATTGATTTTCTTTCATGACTTTTCAAGTGCATTGAGAATGCCCTAATTGCAAAGACTATGTCTTCTTCATTTCTGCATCTCAAGCAGTAACTCAACACCTGGTATATCCTAGGAAATTAACGAGTTGATTGAATGTCTAATTAATGAAACCAATAGAGCCCTCATTTATACAAAAGTATTATCATTTGCAAAATTATATTGTGTATCAAATACAACTGTGAAAGATTATCTTTTTTGAATGCCTCTTTCCTTTTAATTTAAAACTTACTTATCAATTATATCACTTTTAAATTTTGTTTCCACTAAATTTAAAAAATATATACTATTTTATTTGATTCATTATTGGGTCAAATTTTCTTCAGTTATAGAGAAAATGGGGATGGATTTCCCCAAATATGTGCTGACTCTTGGGAAAAACTGCCGAGCCAAAATGTGTCTACATGAAAGTTGCTGACTCTACAGAGGTATGTATATTGGCAGAGACTGATCTACTTGAAAATCTCTTCCATATAAACCCTACATTGATTCTTCCTGTTCTAGTAATAAAAATGAAAGTGATAGTTCTCAAAATATAAAAAAGAGCTGTTTTTAAGGACCAAAGTGAATATTTTAGCAAGACTTTGAATTATAGTCAATTATAGCAAATAACATTATTATAATTAATAATTAAAACTTTCCAGTATGTGAGATAATGCATATGTTAAACAGATTTAGCTATTTTGCAACATATATTATTTCAAAACAATATGTTATACATATAAATATGTAAAATTAGTATTTGTCAATAAATGTTAAAGATGTAAACCAAAGGAAAAAACATTTCTCATTTATTTATTTGGCCTCTATGTTACTTATGGTAACATATATATGTATGTAAAATATGTATTTTACCATTATACACACATGTGTGTGTATATATAATTTTATAAAAATAGTATAAACACAACTCCAGTAGATATTATATGCATGGCTTAAATTTTATGATTAAAGTAGAATATTCCCAAATATGGCATCCAGAAATTTCCTTGGAATGAATAGATAGCTGAACAAAATCTTAATTTGTACATCTTGTTTGAAAGCACTTTTAAAACAATGTAGTCAGTAATATTTTATTAGCGCTATCCTAAGTAACTGAATTATGACCAGTTATATATTGATCTTCTATCCTGAAATCCTGCTGAACTTACAGTATAGGTAGTTGTGTGTGTATGTGATTTGATAAGGGTGGGGTTGCGTGGATCCCCTTAGGGTTTTCTATATAAAAGATCATGTCATTTGTGAATAAAAACAGAATGCTTTACTTCTTCCTTTCCAACCTGGATGCCTTCGATTTCCTTTTCTTGCCTAGTTGTACTGACTGGAAACTCCAGTGCAATACTAAATAAAATTGGTAAAAGTGGGCATCCTAGCCTTCTTCCTAATATGAGAGAGAAAGCTGTCAGTCTTTCACATTAAATATGATACTGGCCTACATTTTTGATAGATGCCCTTTATCAATTTTAGAAAATTCCCTTTTATTTCCAGTTTTCCATGACAGTTTATCATGAAAGTGTGACAGATTTTTGTCAAATACTTTCCTGTGTCTGTTGAGATGATCATGTGGTTCTTGCCCTTTATTCTACCAAAATGGCTATCAAAAGACAAAATTACAACAAATTTAGTTTAAGTATTTCAGTTGGCCTTGTTTTTAATTCTGGAAGCACCAAAACTTCATTCCATAAAATAGAATAAGTGTTTCAATGAGCTGAACCAAAAGGGTTGGCTCTTTAGACAGGGAAGAACTGAAGAAAGCAGAAGCAAAGAACAAAGAGCATTTTATTCCTTTCAAAGATGCTTTTCTGGTAAGGCAGGGACAGGTGGACAGAACAATAGAAAATAACTGATTAGTCAACATCAGGTTACTTAAAGCTACCATTTTTGTGTAAGGATTAGAACACAGGGAACTTCATTGTTATGCCCATTGAAGTATTTAAACTGGTCTGTTCAGGAAATTGGCTATTTCTCCTGATTTCTTTGATGGCCAGACAACTTAGTTTGGGTTGCGTGACTGTCCTTTGCTTTTTAGTCTGGTCTGTTACAGCCTAATATAGGCACTTCGTCCAAAACAATGGCCTCCTATATTTTTTAAACATGGTGTATTACATATATTGATATTTTTGGATCTTAAATTGACCTTACATAACCATAAGAAATCTCAGTTGGCCATGGTGTAGAATCTTTTTTATGTGTTACTTAGCTAATATTTCATTGAGAATTTTTGTATCTGTGTTTTTATTTTCATGTAACATCTTAGTCTGCCTTTTGTATCAGGGTAATACTGGCCTTCTGGAATAATTTGGTAAGTATTCCTCGCTTCCTCTCTCTTTCTGGGAGAACATGTGAAGAAATAGTATTATTTCATCTCTAATTTTTTGTAAACTTTACCAAAAAAGTGTCTGGGCTTGGGCTTATCTTTATGAGACAGTTCTAAGTTACTAATTCAATTTTTTATGTCGTCTGTTTATTATAGGTTTGAAAGGTGATAAGGAGCATATGCCAGAATATAAATCAATTTACCACTTCCTTCTTTGATAAAGTTTTGCCATTAAAAAATGCTTTAAAGTCATAAAATAGTTGGTTTACAATCTAGTACATTTTCCTTATATTATCAATGACAGTATCAAATATTTTGTGGATTAGTACCTGTCCATGAACTACTGTTTGATAGCAATGGTCTAAATCACTACCTAAACTATGAAGATAGAATTAGTCAAGGTACTTGGGCAGCAACTTGATAGCCTAAACTACCTAACACGTAAGGAAAGATTTATTATGTTATTGTAGGAAAGTTAAAACTTTCTCTCTGACAAGTTGATAATTGAGTCTGCTGAAGTAAACTGACAATAGACAGATCAACAGGAGAAAAACACTCTCTCATGTGAATGGGAGTCACACAAAGTATGAAAACTCAAAGATGGGCCAGATGATTGAAGATTAAATACCCTCTTCATAGGAAAGAGGGAAGTGGGGAATGTAGGCAATTTTAGAGGAAGAGTAAATAATTTTTAGGGGAGATAAATAGGCCCAAAGAACAGATAATAGCCTGGAACAAAATTTCTATGGCTCTGTGTGTGGTGTCAACTCTAGACTTCCTTCCTGAGAGTTAATCTTCTGTTTGGTGAGATTATAAGGGCGGGACCCAAGACAATTGCATTTATTCTGGAGGAATTTTCCTTAGCCAGATAAGGGAATTTTAGGAAAAGCTCCTCTCTGTGCTTCAGGAGAGGCAGAGGGGCAAAACATGAGAAGCGGGTGTGGGAGAAGGTCAGAGAGACCTTGGTTCTGAGGCTGTTTCCTTTGTGCAAAGTACAGTTGATCCTTAAACAACACAATGTTGAATGGCAAGGGTCCTTGTATATGCAGATTTTTTAAAAATAAAAATTACACCAAGTATATCTGCCTCTTCTGCCTCACTTCTACCTCGTCTACCTCTTCCACCTCTGAGACAGCAATACCTACCCCCCTTCTTTCTCTTCCTCATCCTTAGCCTACTCAACCTAAAGATGATGAGGATAATCTACTTCCACTTAATACATAGTAAACATATTTTCTCTTTTTGATGTTTTTCTTAATAACATCTTTATTTTCTCTAGCTTACTTATAAGAATGTTGTATATAATACATATAACATACAAAATGTGTGGTAATTGTTCATATTATGGGGAAGGCTTCTGGTCAACAGTAGGCTATTAGTAGTCAAATTTTAGGGGATTCGAAATGTATGTGTGAATTTTTCACTGTGTGGGTGGCTAGTGCCCATAAGTCCTCCATTGTTCAAGAGTGAGTTGTACTCAACAAGTCAAAGCACCATACTTTGGGGTATCATTTTGCTGAGCCCCAACATTTTGCTGGAGAATATCATGGAACCTAAGGATAGGGAAATGGCCAGGTCTAAGGCAGCATCTGTGGCAATGAACTGGAAAGTCTTTTTGACAACTAATAAAAGACATTTTCTCTATAATCTTATTTTTTTACACTAATCAACTTTGCATCTTTTACATAGTAGAATGCAACTACTTAGAATTCTCTGATTACATATTTTGATCTTTGATCTCATCCTACCGTGGATGTCTATCTGTTTCTATAATGATCACTTGTAAGGGGTCATGGGCATATAGTACAAACATCATGTTTTGGGGACCCTAACTACAGGGATGGAAAAGGCATGCAGCAGAGAACATGGTCTGGCAGAAGCTACCAAAGTGTCTCCTATTTATACTTTAATATGATGTACCTTAAAACTCACTTTTGGGACTAGCCCAAAAAACTTGTAGCGCATTACTTTAAATGTCTCCAATTTAGGTAAATATTTCAAGGTAAAAATTACCTTTCAGACAGCCATATTTAATTTTGTTTGAACTTGTTATTTGAATCAACTGGGTTATCAGGCTATGCATGTAGCCTTTAGAAAAAAAATAAAATAAGGTGAGAGATCCAATATTCAGTCTGATTTCCTATATTGGTAATAAGTCATTTGTAGAGCTTACCAAAGAGTCTGAAAACATATTGAGTAATGGAGAAATGCATAAACGCCTAAGTACATCATTTAAAAAAATAACATTTATTCAAATATACGTAGTCTTATTTGGAAATCTTAGTAATTTACTCTCACTAATGTTTATCATATATTATATGGAGGCAGTTCCAGACCAAAGACAGTAGATGTGAAGAAATAGTACTCAATTAACAAAGGGGAGACTTGGTTTAAAAAAAAATGTGTGTGCGTGTATGTGCGTGTATATGTGTATATGCATACATACACATATATATACAAATAAATACATGTAAATACGTGTGTGCATATAAAATACAATATATTTCATATGTGTAACCTCGCTAGCATAACAAAGTCTTATCACTCAGGAAATTCCAAGGGATTTAGCAGCTCTGTGCCAGGAACGAGGGATAAAGACCAAGTGTCTTTTTAATTGTAGCACAAAAGGCTATTATAATTCTTATCCTTGTTTCTCTATAAGTAAGGTGTATTTTCCTTTGGCTTCTTGTAAGAATTTGTTTTTTCTTTGTTATTTTTCTGCAGTTTTAATGACACGCCCACCTGTGGGGTTTTTGGTTTTTATTCGGCTTGATGTTCTCTGAACTTGCTGCATCTGTGACTTGGTGTCTACCACTAATTTTTAAAAGTTCTTGGCCATTACTATTTCAAATATTTCTTCCTCTCCGTTTCTTCTGTTTTTTTGTTTGTTTGTTTCTTCTTCTGATATTATGTTCACACATATATTACATCCTCTGAAATTATTGTGAATATTCATATTCATTTTTTTTTCAATTCCTTTTCTCTTTGCCTTTCAGTTTAGGAAGCTTCTATTAAGTTACCTTCAAGCTCACTGCTTATTTCCTTGGCTGTGTTATGTCTACTGATGAACCCAAGAAAGGTATTCTTTATTTTTATTGCAGTTCTAGAGTCTTCAAATTCCTTTAGTGTCTTTGTTTTTAGCTATGCTCTTGACTTTGGGCTTTTCCTAAGTACCTCTTCTAGATAGTCTGTATGTTACAGCTAGTTCAGCTTTAGAACCCACAGCTATCATATGAAAGCACCGTTGGTATGGTAAAATAGTGTGGTAGAATGGGAGCCTTCCATAAGCTGATTAAAACTCGATCTTTTGGGAGGCCTGTGTCTCAGGGTTGTAAACTTCACAAGTGTTTCTCCAGTGATAAAGCTTTTTCCTCTTATAATTAAATCATTGTACCATGGCCCTATTTATATCTTTTTTTGCTGTCTATAATGGAAATAAAAACCAAGACAGTGCTTATTTTTTCATATATTTATAGGTTCAGATAACTAAATGCATGCAAATTTTGCACACTCTAAGTGGCTATGGTACACTGTCAGTGAGCAACATCTATTTTATTGGTGTGTTAAGCAGAAAAACTGTAGTATGAAAAGATAATACAAATATCCTGCTAATATCTTTATTTCAATAAATTGAAATTAATATGAATGTAAAAAGTGAATAAAGACACACACACACACACACACACACATTTAAACTAGATTTATTCACATGAGAAAAAAGAACAGATTTCCAAGTTTGACCCTAGAGGTTTTAGATACTTGTGTAATAGGCATATGATCTAGTGTTCTTTTTCTTCTGTTTAAGAGTCTTTGAATTAATTCACATTTGAAAAGGCCAGAAGAGAATGAATCTTATTTATTTATGATATGTCTTAGTGGAAAACTTCATGTTCATATTAAAAAAAGTACTAAGAGGAAAGTAATTTCAGATGCTGAACAATCAGCAATTTAAGCAAAATCTGTCAAAACCAGATGTTGTTTTGACAATCCATTCTAAATAGACTTGTTTTGCATTCCTATCTCTGGTTTCAAAATAACAGTACACCAAAACAATGTAGTCTTCTGTAAAAGAGATTCTGTTTTAGTGCGTAATGTTGGAACAAAACTTGTTGAGGGTGGGTGGATGAAATAGGATGATTCCATTGCCAATGAATTGAATTAGAGTGAATTTATTTATTATTAACATCCAACATAATTATCATAATTATTTCAAAAGTAGGTAAACAATAGTTGTATTTTTAAATTTTATTTCTAAAAGACTTTTTGGAGGGCAATGCTTTTTTTGTTTGAAAACTGGCCACTCTGTATTCTTAATTTTTGTATGTTTAAAAAGCCTGGACCCTTTATTTTATTTTTCAAAATAAATTCTATACTGTACTATTTACTCTATTAAAAAAGCTTAGGCAGATAATTTAAACAATGCATGCATTCTATTAGTAACAAAAGAAAAAGGATAAGAACGAATAGCTTTCTGTGTGCAAAGCAGGAATCTGAATGGTTATAATTTACTGGGGTACAAATCATTTTGAAGGAAATAAACATCACAGTGTTGTCCAGGTTAGCTGAGAATTAATTTTGATAAGTGAAGAGAACCCAACAGAGTAGAAAAGGAAGTGTTGCTAAGGAAAGATCCAGCAGTCTGCAGTTAGAAGGGCAAGTCTTGGAAGTGACAGTGTTCCTTTGAGTGGAAGAGCAGGCTAACTTAACAAGGGACTTTTACACTTGCAGTAAGTGCAATTCTGTCTAGCAGGTTGATAATTAAACTTAACAGCAAGTCACAAATATGATTCTTTCCTTCTCAGGTTATAGACAGTGAGATGATGACTTAGATGCTTATAACTAGAATAACACTAAAATAAATCAGATTCTTTAGAACAATATGTAAAGATAATTGTGAAGAAATTAAGATTTTTATACAGGTTCAATGGATAAAACTCAAAATCATAGTTTAGTGAAAAAAAAAAAACAAAACTCATAGCTTAGTAGAGTAATTTGAAGAATTTTTTTATCTGTCCATTGGAGAAGTATTACTCCAAATGCTACTTATATATCAATTTTAGCTATTTAAGTTATCCTGCCATATTTTAATGAATATTTTGTCATTAAATAATAGGTGGTTGGTGATACTGCCATTTGTGAAATTCAGTTAGTTTTATCTGCCTTCCAAGTACAGCTTTTATCTTTTATTGGACTTAGTTGTATTTTACAACATTTATTAGATAAAATCCCAGCTATTTGACAAGCTCTGGAATTTGAATTCAAACAAACATACATTATGTCCTACATAATTTATTAAGCTAATTCAATGATATAACTGTTGATTTATAACACGTTTGAAACTGGAGTTTTCATATATTTGCCAACTCAGAGTTAGCAGACAGTTTCTGTGTTTGCTTACAGAAATGTGAAATAGCCCTATAGGTTTGCAACGGAATGATGATTATCTTCAGCTATCTAAATACCAAACTGCAGTTTTTGCTTATTTCGGTAGTGTAAATCCAATTCCAAGCTATCAATGAGTCATCATTGAACCCAGAGTTGGGAAGGAATTTGATTAATGGAGATAGTCAGTGGTGTGCTGAAGCCACCACCTTTCAGCTTTTGACAACTGATTGTTAAATTTTCAGGAAGTTTGTGAGCTGTTACACGGTACTTTTTCCTTACATCAACAACAAATAAATCCAAGAACGTAGATAACTGTTAAATGTAGTAAAATAATTATGAAATGATGGTTTTGACTATGTATTTCAATTTTAGTATAATTTATTTAATTGTAAGGTTATATAACTTATTTATTTATTTATTTATTTTTTTGAAATGGAGTCTTGCTCTGTCGCCCAGGCTGGAGTGCAGTGGCGCGATCTCCGCTCACTGCAAGCTCCGCCTCCCAGGTTCATGCCATTCTCCTGCCTCAGCCTCCCGAGTAGCTGGGACTACAGGCGCCCACCACCAGGCCCGGCTAATTTTTTTGTATTTTTAGTAGAGACGGGGTTTCACTGTGTTAGCCAGAATGGTCTTGATCTCCTGACCTCGTGATCCGCCCGCCTGCCTCGGCCTCCCAAAGTGCTGGGGATTACAGGCTTATTTTAAAAATAATAGTTGTGTTTAACAAACTGGCTTACAAAGTTTTTTAACAATCAGCACACCACTCACTGGCTATCTCCATTAATCAGGAAGCTTCCTCACCCTTTCCTTTCCTTCCATAAACACGCTGTGGTTAGCTTGAAATTTGCCCAGAATATCTCCTCAAATAATCATCTGACTCAATAATGACCTCTTCATTTTGCTATTCCCAGTAATTCATAATTGATTTTAATAATGTTTGAGCAACCAGGATGTGCTGATATTGTATGAAACCAGCACAGTCACACGTATTAACTAATTAGAGTTACTGGATGATTTAGACAGCTGGTTTTCCTGAATAATCAGCTCATTAGAGATTGATACTTTGCCAATAGATGCTTTAAGAAGGTATGTCTTGGAGCTACCATTTTGGTTAATATATAGCTCACTATGTACATTTAGGTCAATTGAATTACTTGATCTTGATCAAAGACAAAAAGAAACCCAATACTTTAGTTCATAGGAAAAAGCCAATCATCTGCAGAGGGATGGGTTCTGTTCTTATGCTCTAGTTTATTTATTTAATTTGATTTTTTGGAATTCTCCAAATAATACAATCTCCCACAGCAGTTTGGCTAATAACTCGCTGCCTCAGCTAAATAATGGTGTCAGAGTCTATGAGTTATAATGTAACATTAAGGAGTGTAATGACAGTTATTCTCCAGAGGATGTTTCAAAATCACAATGAAGTAACAAGCAATTTGTAGAGGATCCATCCCTGCCAGTTGTCAAAGCATTAGCATTCCATCTGCCAGACAGTTGGATTAGCATATCCCTAGTGAAGTTGTTAAGGCATCTTTAAAAAGACTAAATCAGTACTTTGTAAAATCTTTAGGAAGCCATGTTGAAGACTGCATGAACATATTTCTTTAGATGTATGTTAGCCTTTCCCCCACTCTTGACTACTTATTATCATTTGTTTTAGCTTCTGCTAAATGATAAATGGCCGAGTTAGAAACCAGAACATTTTTCTCCACTTGAGCAATTGAAAGCAATATTGTATTTTATTTATCCTTCTTAGAAATAGCCTGAGAATTGGTATTGTTATAAATATATATGTATTTTTTTACAAAACTGAAAGCATTTTTGAAAAAATAGGGGGATACGTAGTTCATGCCATTTCTGGGCTTGAATGTTTACAATGCCTGATGCTTTCATCATACTCCACTGACAGCTGTGATCTTTGAAAGTTATTTGCAACGTGTGCTGAGAAATGTACTTCCTATGTTTTGTTTGCAGTTTTTTATTTTTTCTGCAAATGTTTTTGAAATTCTTTCTAACATTTAAAACACACTTGAGATTAAGGTAAGAAGACTTTATCTCACTGTTGAGAAACTTTGTGAAAATTCAGGCTGCTAAAATAGTCCAGGTCTACTTACACATTGGGGAAATTTATTCACCATAGAAGGGGCCACTGAACAATCATAGGTCACTGTGCAACTGACATCACGGGCCTATGAACAAACTGATGACATTGACAGAGTGATGCTACATGTGGACTAAACAGTATTGATTCCCACTGATCTACCTCCCGTTGACTATAAAGTTGATCTAACTCCTGATGCTTCTGAATGTCCAATCTTTCAACACAAAAAACAACACCGAGCTCTAAATATGGCACTTCTAGGAGTCACTATTTATATCGCACACTGCACCAGAAGCAGAATTGTAGATCATTTGAATCGCCTAATAAAGAATGAGCAAAAGTGCCAGTTCTGAGATAATATTCTCTAAGGATTTGAGAATTTTGCAGTGATTTGATAAAATCAACTGCATAGCTTACTATCCATATTAACATGACTTTAGTATTGTGCTATCTTCATCAATTTAACTTTATAATTCCTGAAAACGCTTGCCCAGGATGAGAAAAATGATAAATTTCTTTGCTGTTAATTTCATGAATTTTCTCAAGGACTCATTAATTCTTCCACAGAAAAGCATCAAACAACAATTTATACTCCATGACTCTTTGGACTCCTTGCCTGATCATCCTCTCCTTGCTGTGTCTACTGCTTATAAACCATTATTTCATGATTGTTACCCAATCCTAACCAAGTCCCCATGTTGAAAGAACTGTCTTAAAAGTGACTTCACAATTTCAATGTCTAGACTTTGTGTTCTCTCCTCTGGGATGTTACTAAGATTTTGTTAAGGTAGTTCTCTTAAGTATGATGAGCAATAAACTCAGCTTAATATTTTTAATAGGTTTCTTTGTTGATGTTTCGAGAGCCGCATTCAACAGATGTTTGACTATGGAAACTCTAAATATACTTCATAATAAAATTTATACACTATATATACATTTCTTATACTTTCCCTAAATTTTTCTTCCTAGTCTATAATTAGGCATGTGTTAGGTATGAAATATATATATGAATGAATCTCAGGTCCCAGTGTTTGTGTAGATGCGGGTTCTGATTTTGCCAGCTTCCTTGGCAGACTCTATTTGCTCTAGGAGGTGCTACTGAGATAAAAAGCTTTGGTTATATTTACAATGGCACATCTAAAACAATCTGAACGTATGTAGAAAATAAAAATAAACAAAAATAACAGATGTCAGACACAGCTTTCCTAGGAATAGTGATAGAATGCCTGCATTAGTCACTGTCTAATAGCTTTGCTCTTTAAAGATAAGCGGCTTTCTTTTGCCATGTACAACAACTTCCCAATTTGTATTTAATTTTAACAAAAATCAGTGACAAAGCGTGGTATGAATTTGGTACATTAGCTATGAAGAATTCTAGGCAGCTTGTTCTCTTAATCTGAAATGAGGTCATTTCTGCTAGGCTTGTTCATTTATGTACTGCTGTGACTGCACTTTGTACCTCTGAGGAAGTCCTCAAAGATATGACCTTCCATTCTTTTGGCAGATTCCACTCAGTAGTGAGAAATGAAGAATTACTTAGTAAATGGTTCTGATCAACAGCCTTTGTCTCAACATTTTTTATTTTTTAAACCTAGGCAGGGATATATTTTAATAATATTGAATAAACCATTTTTTAATTTCATATGGAAAGAACTTCAATTATAGTTATCAAAATAGCATATTTAAGTTCATTGAATTAGTAATGTATAAAAGGAAAAGCCAATATTTTATACATAATGAATTAGGTAAACTAAAATCAAAATAACACAAAGCAAATGTGTTTTTTCTTCTGATATTATACCACTGTATATTAAATTAAGAAAATAGAATGAAAGAAAATTTAAGGACAGAGGTGTGACATTTTTTACGATAGGCTGTTATTATATTTGTCATTTTATAGCCTAGGCCACCTCTTCTCCAAATATGGTTCCTGGATGAGCAGATTCAACACCACCTGGGAACCTGTTTGAGACAAATTCTCAGGCTCCACCCCAAACCTACTGAATTAGAAATTTTGAGAATAGGACCCAGCTAACTGATTTAACCAGCCCTCAGTATGATTCTGATATATACTAGTCTATATACTAGTCTTTAAAGCTTATGTTATACAAGTGCTGATCAATCAATAACTATTTGGTAATGATTTGCTCAGACACTAAAAAAAATGTGTGTATATATTTGGAAATAAGAGAACAATGTATCGAAATATAAATGTAAGTATTGCTACACTGAGTGCCCCCATCTTCCTCATCTGAAACATGTAAAATTAAATAATGTCCTAGATTTCTTCCATTTTGAAGAATTTGTAATTTTATAACTGAATAATCAAAATATTATAAACATAATTTATGGAAAAATCTGTGAAGAATTTAACATGAAATGCTGAATCTTTGTGGGGAGAGGTTGAATCAGGATCTTATGAAAGAGCAAACTTTGAGTACATTTATTGAAAAGGGGTGCATTCTTGTTGGGAAGCCCATTGCCGAAGCAAGGAGCAGATGACCAGTTCTCTTGCACAGAGTTCTAGGACACAGTGGAAGAGTAAGGTGCGGTTATCAGGTCCTGAAGGCTGACTGAGAAGTGTGCACTTGTTTCAGAAATCCATGGAGTTTTCAAGCAAATGAGTGGAAAGGAATAGTGTTTATTTTATTTTTTTTCCAACACTGGCTCTGATAAATATGATTGATTGAAGAAGGAAAATGGTGGAAGTTTGTAAAACAAAGCAGGCTAGAGATAATAAAGCCCTAAGCACAGTTATTTTAATAAGAACTGAGAAGTGGAAAAGCAAAGAGAGAAATGAAAATGCCTAAGGTGTTTTGATGATGAGTGTCTAGGAGAGGGGAGACTTGGTGGTTATGTGTGTGGTCCCCTTGGCTCCTACTGGTTTTTGGATTTATTTGTTATAATCTGGAAGGGAAATGGATGTGATTCAAAATATTGGTTGAAAGATGTAGTATATAAACTATATAAATTGTTGTTTGAATAATTTTTATGCTGAGAGATTTTGAAAAAATACATAGGCATTATTTCATGGAATATGTACTTTAGTAACCATGATAATATATAAATGTGCTGACACTGCAGTCAGATTATAGAAATTTAACTCCTAGCTTGGTCGCTAACCAGCTATGTAATCTTGGGAAAATTATTTCATCCTTTTTAGCCTCATTTTCGATTTCTCAACTTTTTAACATAGTGATAATGCCTATATCATTGGGCTAGGGCGAGGATTATAAGAAAATCAATTTAAAAGTTAGGAAAAAGCCTGGTACATAATAAACATTCAATAACTGTTTACAGGTATTGATAAATAGAATGACATCCAAATAAGAGGTAATTAACAGATTCTTACTAGCTTAATGAAAAAGAATCAAAGACTTCATATATAAAGTATTGCATAAAACATCACTGATATCTGTAATTCATTTGGGAACTTTAAAATATATGTTTTCATGAATAATGTTCTGTAGATATATGAACATTTATAAAATATATTTTGCAAAAATTAACTTATTTTTAGCTAATGTTGAACAATGTTTATAATCTCTTTTAGTTATAATTTTTCTTTTTCTTAGATGGCTTTAATTTTCTGAGAATATGCCTTAAGGCATTGATAGGGTTTAGGACATGTTACTCCAAAATAATGGCATCTTGGCATATATACAGAATATTTTGAGCAGAAGGAATCTGAGAAAATGGCAGAAGTAGGGATGTCTCTGTGACCTTCTGCTACCCTTCTCCCCAGGCCAGTTTTAAAACCTAGGAAGGATTTTCTCAATCTTCTCCTGAAGCAAATCGTTAAGACCCTCATGTGAAAGATGACTTCTCTACAACTAGAAGAAATGAGCATCCTTATCTCAAAAGACACAGAGATACCTAGAAAAATCTGAAGATACTGCCCTTACTAAGTTGCCCCAGTTTAATGCCATTACATCATACTGTTTTTGCCCTATCATAGTTCTCCACGACTCTTTATTCTTCATCCAGCCCACTATAAAAGCACTAGGTTTGGCTGGGCGCGGTGGCTCATGCCTGTAATCCCAACAGTTTGGGAGGCCTAGGCAGGTGGATCACCTGAGGTCAGGAGTTCAAGATCAGCCTGGCCAACATGGTGAAACCCTGTCTCTACTAAAAATACAAAAATTAGCTGGGCATGGTGGTGCATGTCTGTAATCCCAGTTACTAGCGGGGGCTGAGGCAGGAGGATCACTTGAACCTGGGGGTTGGATGTTGCAATGAGCCGAGATTGTGCCATTGCACTCCAGCCTGGGCAACAAAGTGAGACTCCATCTCAAAAAAAAAAAAAAAAAAAAAAAAAAGAAAGCACTAGGTTTAACTCTTTCCTTGGGTCTTCATTTCCTTATGAAGGCTCCCATGTCAGGTAAAATTTATAGTAAATAAATTCAGATGCTTTTCTCTTGTTAATCTGTCTTTTGTTATGTGGCCTCAGCCAGTAGCCTAAGATGGAAAAAAGAGAGGTATTTTTCCTCCCCTATAGCACCATATATATTATCTAAATATATTTAGATTATCTAAATATATTATCTAGATATATATCTAAATATAATGACTTGTATCATTAAAAATTTTTAGTTTGATTTATCTCCATGTTCATACTAACACTGAGTTTTATTTATTTTTATTTTTATTATTTGAAAACAAAACATTTATTCATTTACTTGACTGCTGAATTTCATGAGAAGGGATTGTTCAGGGAGGGTCATTGGGCTGAAAACCCGGACAGGAGCTGGTGCGACCGCTGTTCAAATCTGAGAGTGGTGGAGATGGAGCCCTGGGGAGGAGACGTTGCTGCCTTTTAAGTCTGAGAGTCGTTGAGCTGGAGGTCCACAGAGGAGCCAGTGCTGCCACTGATGTCTTAGGTTGTGGAGCTGAAGACCAATGAAGGAGCTGGTGTTGCTGTTCTTCTGTTAGGGTCATGGAGCTGGAGATCCAGCGGGGAGAGGTGTTCTAATTGGAGCGTCGTGCAACTGGAGACCCGGGAGGAGCTGATGTTGTTTTAATTGGAGGGTCATGGAGCCGAAGACCTGGGGAGGAGCTGGTATTTTTCTAGTTTGAGGGTCTTGCAGCTGAAGACCTGGGAAGGAGCTGGTGTTTTTTGTTTGAGGGTTGTGCAGCTGCAGACCCTGGGAGTAGCTGGTGAATTTCTAGTATGAGTGTCTTGCAGCTGAAGACCCGGAGAGGAGCTGGTGTTCTATTTTGAGGGTCGTGCAGCTGAAGACTCAGGGAGGAGCTGATGTTCTAGTTTGAGGGTCATTCAGCTGGAGACCCAGAGAGCAGCTGGTGTTGTTCTAGTTTGAGGTTTGTGCAGCTGGAGACCTGGGGAGGAGCAGGTGTTTTTCAGTTTGAGGATCATGCAGCTGTAGAACCCGGGAGGAGCTGGCGTTTTTCTCGTATTGACTTGTTGTTCTAGTTTGAGGTTCATGCAGCTGGAGACCTGGGGAAGAGCGGGTGTTTTTCAGTTTGAGGGTCATGCAGCTGTAGAACCCGGGAGGAGCTGGCGTTTTTCTAGTATGAGTGTCCTGCAGCTGAAGACCCGGAGAGGAGCTGTTGTACTAGTTTGAGGTTCATGCAGCTGGAGACCGGCAGATGAGCTGGTGTTTCTTTAGTTTGAGAGTTGTGCAGCCGTAGAACCTGGGTGGAGTGGATGTTGTTCTAGTTTGGGGGTCTTGCAGCTGGAGACCCAGAGAGGAGCTGGTGCTGTTCTAGTATGAGGTTCGTGCAGCTAGAGACCTGGGAAGGAGCAGGAGTTTTTTTTAGTTTGAGGGATGTGCAGCTGTAGAACCTGGAGGACCTGGCGTTTTTTAATTTGAGTGTCCTGCAGCTGGAGAACCGGAAAGGAGTTGATGTTCTAATTTGAGGGTCGTGCAGCTGCAGACTCGGGGAGGAGCTGATGTGGTAGTTTGAGGGCCCTGCAGCTGGAGACCCAGAGAGGAGCTGATGTTCTAGTTTGAGGGTCGTGCAGCTGCAGACTCGGGGAGGAGCTGATGTGGTAGTTTGAGGGCCCTGCAGCTGGAGACCCAGAGAGGAGCTGATGTTCTAGTTTGAGGGTCGTGCAGCTGAAGACTCGGGGAGGAACTGATGTTGTTCTCATTTAAGGGTCTCTCAGCTGGAGACCTGGAGAGGAGCTGATGTTGTTCCAGTTTGAGGGTCATGGAGCTGGAGAGCCAGAGAGGAGCTGGTGTTGTTCTAATTTGAGGTTCATGCAGCTGGAGACCCAGAGAGGAGCTGGTGTTTCTTTAGTTTGAGGGTCGTGCAGCTGTAGAACCCAGGAGGAGCTGGTGTTTTTCTAGTATGAGTGTCCTGCTGCTGGAAACCTGGAGAGGAGCTGATGTTGTAGTTTGAGGTTCGTGCAGCTGGAGACCCAGAGAGGAGCTGGTGTTTCTTTAGTTAGAGGGTTGTGCAGCTGTAGAACCCAGGAGGAGCTGGCGTTTTTCTAGTATGAGTGTTGTGCAGCTGGAGACCCGGAGAGGAGCTGATGTTCTAGTTTGAGGGTCATCCAGCTGGACACCTGGAGAGGAGCTGATGTTCTCGTTTGAGGGTCATGGAGCTGGAGACCCAGAGAGGAGCTGGTGTTGTTCTAGTTGGAGGTTCGTGCAGCTGGAGACCCAGAGAGGAGCTGGTGTTTCATTAGTTTGAGGGTCACGCAGCTGTAGAACCCGGGAGGAGCTGGTGTTTTTCTAGTATAAGTGTCCTGCAGCTGGAGACCTGGAAAGGAGCTGATGTTCTATTTTGGGGGTTATGCAGCTTGAGACCCGGGGAGGAGATGATGTTGTTCTGTTTTAAGGGTCATGGAGCTGGAGACCAAGGGGGGAGCTGGTGTTATTCTTGTTTGAGGGTCATGGAGCTGGATACCCAGAGAGGAGTTGGTGGTGTTCTAGTTTGAGGTTAGTTCAGCTGAAGCCCTAGGCAGGAGAGGGTGTTTTTTAGTTTCAGAGTCATGTAGCTGTAGAACTTGGGAGGAGCTGGAGTTTTTCTAGTCTGAGTGTCGTGCAGCTGGAGACTCGGAGAGGAGCTGATGTTCTAGTTTGAGGGTCCTGAAGCTGGAGACTCAGGTAGGAGCTGATGTTTTTCTGATCAGAGTGTAGTGGAGCTGGACACCCAGGGAGAAGCTAGCGTTATTCTAGTTTGAGGTTCCTTGAGCTGGAAACCCAGGGAGGAGCTTATGTTGTTCTAGTTTGAGGGTCTTGCAGGTTGAGACCTGGGGAGGAGCTGGTGTTTTTCTAGTCTGAGGTTCGTTCAGCTGTAGACCCTGTGAGGAACAGGTGTTTTTTTTACTTGGAGGGTCATGCAGCTGTAGAACCCGGAGGAGCTGGCGTCTTTCTAGTGTGAGGGTCGTGCAGCTGGAGACCCGGAGAGGAGCTGGTGTTCTAGTTTGAGAGTTGTGCATCTGAAGACTCGGGGACAAGCTGATGTTCTAGTTTGACGGTCATGCAGCTGGACACCTTGGGAGGAGCTGATGTTCTAGTTTGAGGGTCATGCAGCTGAAGACTTGGGGAGGAGCTGATGTTCTAGTTTGATGGTCGTGCAGCTGGAGACCTGGGAAGGAGCTGATGTTATTCTAGTTTGAGGGTCATGGAGCTGGAGACCCTGGGAGGAGCTGATGTTTTTCTAGTTTGAGGCTCCTGTATCTGGAGACTCAGGTAGGAGCCGATGTTTTTCTGATCAGAGGGTCTTGGTGCTGGAGACACAGGGAGGAGCTGATGTTTTCCTAGTTCGAGGGTCGTGGAACTGGAGACCTGGGGAGGAGCTGATGTTTTTCTGATCAGAGGGTCATGGAGCTGGAGATACAAGGAGGAGCTGATGTTTTCCTACTTCAAGGGTCATGGAGCTGGAGACCCAGGGAGAAGCTGGTGCTGCTCTTGTTTAAGTCTGAAGGTCATAGAGCTGGAGACCCAGGGAGAAGCTGGTGCTGCTCTTGTTTAAGTCTGAGGGTCATGGAGCTGGAGATCCAAGGAGGAGCTGATGTTGTTTTCATTTGAAGGTCGTGGATCTGCAGACCTGGAGAGGAGCTGACACTGTTCCAGCTTGAGGGTTGTAGAGCTGGAGACCTGAGGAGGAGCTGATGCGGCTCTAGTCTGAGGGCCATGGAGCTGGAGATCCGGGGAGGAGCTAGTGTTTCTCCAGTGAG
The DNA here is from genome assembly GCF_000001405.40 of Homo sapiens. Taxonomy (NCBI): domain Eukaryota; kingdom Metazoa; phylum Chordata; class Mammalia; order Primates; family Hominidae; genus Homo; species Homo sapiens. The sequence continues at coordinate 187,866,632 of NC_000002.12, read as the reverse complement.
AAGTTTGTGGAGCTGGAGACCCAGGGGGGAGCTGGTGTCCCTCCAGGTTGAGGGTTGTGCAGCTGACCCTCAAACGACCTCAAACTAGAAAATCACTCCTACCCCTGGATTTCCAGCTCCTCCACCCTCAAACTAGAACAACACTGCCCCCACCCCCGCACCGTATCTCCAGCTCCATGACCCCTAAACCAAAAAAACACCAGCTCCTCCCTGGTTGTCCAGCCCCATGACCCTCAAACCAGAAAAACACAGCCCTTCCCTGGGTGTCCAGCTCCATGATGCTCAAACCAGACCAAAACCAGCTCCTTCCCGGGTGTCCAGCTGCAGGACCCTCAAACATTGTCCGCTGGTGATTTTTCTGGTCTTGTAGAATAAATCTGTTTGTACATGCTCACTTTTCTGATACTTCTGTCTGCTTTCTTAATTGCTGGAGCAGTTCTGACATATCTACCTCATTTACTTGGTGTTTCCAAGCTTCAAGGAATAATTATTGAAACATATTAGACCTATCTCCAGCATTCTTAAGGCATTATTCAATTCTAAATGATGAGTGAGTGGCCCTATGTCAGCAATTTTCTACCGGCCTTTACTTCATCTTTTCTGGTCCCACATCCTCAAGATCAATTGCCTAGCATGTTCTACAGATTTCTGCTGGTACATATTAGCCAGGACCTAGAATTCTTTTAGTGTATAATTTCCCTCCCATAGCAGGAACTATACTTTACCTGAGCTGTGGTGAGACTTGAATTTCCTTATTGGGCTAGAAGCTGTGAGCAGTGGTGGAGACACCTTAAAGGAGGCCAAGAATCATTTGGCAGGGCCTTAACTTCAGGTGAGTCCTTCTCATAATAGTATGAGGCTGTGTTTCTCCAGCAAGGAGAGTGAAATCTTCCCATCCTGCTTAGACTGTTTAGGGCTACCTAGAGGTTTAAACACCTCTCGCATGCATCTCTACCCAAATATTCTGGCCTAAGGGTCTCATTTATTTGTTAACACAGCTTTGGCTTTAACACAGGAGAAGCCCTGCTATGGCTGTAAATTAAGCTTCCTTTGTGGTGTGCGCTTGTTACAATTAAGATTGTAGTTTTCAACACACTCCTGTCTCTAGCCAGAATTGATAAGGGTCTCCTAAAGTGCCACCAAGGACACTTTCTGAAAGTCACACTATAAGTCATTTTGTTTGCTATTCTATGTTTGTTACTTTCCTTCTTTGGGGCTTCTATGGTGTTAACAATCACCAAACAATATCACAATATGCATAATTAGCATTCTTTTAAGCACTAGAGCTATTACATAAACCAGTGCTAAATTCTACAAGTCTTCTGGGTTTTCTAATCTAATCCATATGAGTAGTTGCATTGTATAGGATGCTGTGGATAATTATTAACCCAGTTACTAACAGCAAGGAGGGCCTTGTTGACATTTGCACAGCAAGTGATCTAACTCCAGAATCTCATCCTTCACCAACACTCTTTAGCTGAGTTCCCTAGAGGCATACTTCAAGAAAAGGATTTGGGCCGGGTGTGGTGGCTCACGCCTGTAACCCAGCACTCTGGGAGGCTGAGGCGGGTGGATCACGAGGTCAGGAGATTGAGACTATCCTGGCCAACATGGTGAAACCCCGTCTCTACTAAAAATGCAAAAATTAGCTGGGCATGGCGGTGCATGCCTGTAATCCCAGCTACTAGGGAGGCTGAGACAGGAGAATCACTTAAACCAGGGAGTTGGAGGTTGCAGCGAGCCGAAATCGTGCTACTACACTCCAGCCTGGCGACAGAGTGAGACTTCATCTTAAAAAAAAAAAAAAGAAAAAAGAAAAGAAAAGGATTTGATTGCAAATTAACTGCACGAAAAATCAGTAAAGAAGTGGGAAGTAAGATAGGAGAGGAAACAAAATTAATAAAAGGTGCTTTAACTAGCCAGGTTATCCCTGAGGCACTAAGGTTCAGTCTTAAGGAAAACCCCTGGTAGATGGCCAAGTTTTCTAATCCAAATTTCAAAAAACCTGAGACACTTATCCTTCAATTCATTTCTATAAATGAATGAGTGGCAACAACTAAGGGTTTAATCGTGGTCACTTCTAGCCTTACACAGCGTGTGAGTTGAGAAAAAGCTCTCAGGCAGAGACATCTTTGACATATATGGGAATGGAATTCCTTTCTGTAGCTCAGGATGCCATATAAGCTTCAATCATCTGACCCTTCTTTGAATCTCATGTTTTGTGGGACTCCAGTGCAAACGCATGTAATTAAAATAATTTTCTCCTGTTAATCTGTCTTATGTCAATTTAATTCATAGGCCAAAGAACATAGAAGGGTACACAGAAGACATTTTCCCTCTCTTACGCAGGTACAGGGAATATTGTTTGCAATGCTCACGGACAAAACAGAAAAAAAGCATAATACTTTCAGGGCATACAAATAGTTTGAAATGGCTAGAATGTGGAGTGATAATTCGATGAAGTTTTCTAAACAGGTTTCATGTTTGGTTTGGTTTGGTTTAATCTACAAAATAGGAATAAGAGTACCTAACTCTTACTCTTCATGTTAAAATTTAATTAATTATTAATATGTGAAGTACTTAGAACAGCTCCTGGCACTATCAAGTGTTTATAAATATTAACAATTATTAGCATTATTATATTTCTACTATTATTTTTAGAAGATTGGAAGTATGATCAACCACTTACTACAGAGTGAGGAGCAGAGGCACATGCCTCATCAGAACACCATACCCAGTGATATTCAGGAAAGCAATTTAAAAACCTCCTGACCCTTCTTTTTTTTGAGGGGATAGTGTGAGTGATAGGAAAAGGAGGTCACTGCTTTGTAAGTACACATATTTGATTAATGTAATTTGTATTTTCCTGTAGTACTGCCTAAGATTTATATTTTGAAATCCATATTACTTTATTATATAAATTGCATTATAATTATGTAATATATAAATACTTTTGTTTTAAATTTGATCTTATCCTTTTATCAAAATGAATGGCTTTTATATTTACCATCCAGAAATAAAGAAGGTAGTCTGTTGATACTGAAAATTACTGCTCTAAGAGGGTGATCATCAGTTTTACTTGTGAGAGTTTAAAGAAATTCTGAGGACCAGGTTTCCTCTCCTGCAGTTCTGATTTATAAATTCTAGTTGTGGCTTGGGGCATTGTGACTGAGACAATTAATAAAGATAATCTCAACCTAATTGATAAGAGTAATAGTGTGATGCATAAAATTATTGCCAATGATTTGGGTCAAAGAAAAATTCAAAGCTTTCTTACCCCTTAAAATCAGCTTGCATGTAAAATCAGAACCCTCCTATATTCAATCAATCACAAATATAACCAACTACTTCATGGAAACTACCAAAAAATTAATCAAATTCACAAACTTTTATAATTTATGCTCCTTCAGGAAAGAAGAACATTTCATTTGTTATTGAAGCTCTTTTATTACTGAGTAAAATAGCTTGAAGTATTAAACTGGTCACTTTAATAATGAATGATTTTATGATTACATTGCTCTCATAGCTTAATGCAAGAAAAATAAATTAGTTACAAATTTAAATGCTGCTATTTGTATAGTATTTGCAAATATTTGCCTTAGTAAATTAAGAAAAAAACAGTGGTTTTTATCATTACTGTATAGTAGTAAAAAGAACAACATGAGATGGTTGAAAAGTTCAGTCTGAATAAGCAGTTAAAATGTTTGATTCTTGGTTGACCTTTAGCCAAACCACCCAAACCTTTCAAGTTTCCAAACGTCGACTGAAATTCTTATAAGAACAGTCTGTGTTAGGATATTCTCGGCAGTTTTTAATCTTGATTCTTTTGAACCAGGAAAAAGAGAAACAAAAAGAAATAGTGAAAACACAGTTTTATTTTAGCTTCATACTTCTGATATGTTTTTTTCTTATCAAGTAAAGTTAAAAAAAGGAAAATAATTGTAAGTTAAAAGCACACACCCACATGCAATAGTCAGGAAATATTCTGGCTCTATGTACTCTAAGCTAATTTTTATTTCTCCTATTTGTTTGTGACTTTTCCCCCACCAGCATATCTAGAAGCAGTGACATCCTTTTCCCACCATTCACACTCCCTCCATAAGAAACAGAAGGATCAGGAGGTTTTTAGTTTAATTCTTTTCCTGAATATCACTGGCTATGGTGTTCTGATGAGGAGTGTGCCTCTGTTTCTTACTCTGAAGTCACTGATCATACTTCCAATCTTTTAAAAATAATATACATTATATAACAATGATAATAATAATTGTTAATACTTATAAATACTTGCCAGTACCAAGAGCTGTTATAAGTGCTTCATATATTAAAATTAGTTAATTATAGCATCAACCTCAAGAGTTAGGTACTATTATTATTCCTATTTTGTAGATGAAACCAAACTAAACCAAACATGAGACTTGTTGGAAAACCTCATCGAATATCACTCCACATTCTAGCCATTTCAAACTATTTGTATGTCCTTGAAATTATAGTTTTTTTGTTGTCGTTGTTATGTTTGGTGCATGAGCATTGCAAATGATATTCCCTTTGCTTGCTTTTCCCTGAGCACCTGACTAAATCCATGTCAGGCATCATTTTGTTCATTTCATGTTCTCTTCAGATTCATTTAGATGTTTATTCTTTGTTAACCGAAAGTTCCTTGAAGATGCTTCTATCTTAATTTTTTTTTCTGATGATCCATGAGCTTTCACAGCAGAGATTTCAACTTGTATCTCTACATTCCTCTGCTTGAGAATAGGACTGTCCAATGGAATGTTTTATGATAAGAGAAATGTTCTATATCTGTGCTGGCCAATAAACTACCCCCCAGCCATATGGAGTTTTTGGGCTCTTGAAATGTAGCTAGAATGTCTGCAGAACTGAATTTTTAGTTTTGGTTAGTTTGAGATTAATTTAAATAGCTATGTATGGCTACTGTATTGGACAGTACAGATTTAGAATATAGCTGACACTCTTTACAGGTACACAAGCAATGATAAATGAATGAATCAGTGAATACATAAGTTAACAAGTTGCAATGAATGTAAGTCATCTGAATAAATGAAGACAGGCAAAACTAGAAGTAGGGAGGTAGTAAGAAAGCTACCTCAGGTTTTTGTCCATTTATACCACTCACATTCATAAACACCCATCTTGTGGTAGAAGTAATAATAAAAATAAAGGCCAAGTTAAACTAGTGATAGCAACAAAATTTTGGAACCACCATTCCCAGATCATTTGATTCTACTAAAAGTGATTTCAGATCAGGGGAAAAAGGCTTCCTATGTCTTCAGCATCAGTGTTCATGCCTGCAGGTTTTTATAAAGAATTTACATTAGAATTTCAGATAATTACTTAAGTTCCTTTTTCATAGCATAACAACTTTCAATACATTTTGTTTATATACAATATGATTCATTCTTTGTTTTTAGAAATAATATCCTCAACATAAGCAACTATGAAATGTTTTATGTAATCAAGCTCTTAAAAAACTAGAGTCTTGTATGGCATTTTTATTAAAGTAAAATTATTATTATTATAGTTATATTACTTTTAATCACTATCTGTTTACATGTTTACAGAAGAATAACGCACATAGAAATAAATCTTCAACATGACAGTTTTCAAAACATACTCTATTCCTTGTTTTTTGCCATGCTAATAATCACTTCTTTCCTCAGGTAATAAGAAAATCTTAATTGGAGTATTAAAAGAACTACATTTGAAAAAGTATGAAAGATAAAATGTTAATACTCGGAAATATTTATTATACAAATGGAAAACATCATTATAAAACTTGATTTCGCCAGGCACGGTGGCTCACGCCTGTAATCCCAGCACTTTGGGAGGCCGAGGCGGGCGGATCACGAGGTCAGGACATGGAGACCATCCTGGCTAACACGGTGAAACCCTGTCTCTACTAAAAATACAAAAAAATTAGCCAGGCGTAGTGGCGGGTGCCTGTAGTCCCAGCTACTCGGCAGGCTGAGGCAGGAGAATGGCGTGAACCCATGAGGCGCAGCTTGCAGTGAGCGGAGATGGTGCCACTGCACTCCAGCCTGGGCAACAGAGAGAGACTCCGTCACAAAACAAAACAAAACAATACAAAACAAAACAAAAACAATACACTTGCTTTCAGTTTGTCATCACCCCATAGCACTGTGTGTACTAATTTTCCATGTTCTATTCAGTTTATAGAACTTACCTAGCTTATGTTGCATCTTTATTCATGTTATATTTGTTACAAATTATTAACCACAAGCTAATATCAAGTCATCAAGTATAAAGCATGAAAAATAAGCCTTTAGAAATTGTGAAGTTGTTTCATACCATAACAGTGGTGTTTTTATGACATTTAACATAATGTATTCATACCTTTATTTCTGAAAGTTTCATGCCATTTGACTAAACCACATTTCTAAATGTCCCTGGATGGCTCCTTCAACTCCCTTGTTTGTAGTTTATGGATGACTTTATCTCCATTGACCTATAATTCTGTGCCTCTCCAGCAAATCACTCATACAGCCTCACAGCTGGAATTCTCATTACTTGATATTGCTTTACTGCTGCTGACAATTTAAGCTCAGAATTTTTTGTGTGTTCACAATCTGCTGTCTTTTCAACCATCTTGGTTTTCCTAGTCCACATGTTCTTTAACTTCATTAAGCCTCCAGTTTTGTGATTCCTTTTATTTCCACAGCCCACTCATCTTCTTTATTTTATTTCCTAATCTGTTCATATTCCACTGATGTACTTTATCTTTTTCAGTGTTTCAACTCATTTTTCATTACATTCTCCTGGCAATTGTCTTGCTTTCTGTGCTCATGCCCAGAGTAATGTATGTGCTGGAGAAAAATTGAGGAAACATGCACATTTATACAAATACAAAATAATGTCCTCTAACTTTAATCTCTTCTTCAATGATTTCTTGGTATCCTTTTCTATTTTCTTAGTCAACTCTTTTGCCCGTTCTCCTTAGTGAACGTTTGAAATTTTCTTCATTCTCTTAAAACCTTTAACTCTCCTTCAGAGTGCTCAGTCAGTGGTTTCTACAAATAAGAGGAAATAGGACTTGCTCAATGTATTAGGCCATTCTTGCATCATTATAAATAAATACCTGAAACTGGGTAATTTACAAAGAAAAGAGGTTTAATTGGCTCATGGTGCTGCAGGCTGTACAGAAAACATGATGCTGGCATCCGTTTGGCTTCTGGGGAGGCCTCAGGAAACTTATGGCAGAAGGTGAAGGGGTAACAGGCACATCAAATGGTGAAAGCAAGAGCGAGAGAGGGCTAGCAAGGGGACACACTTCTAAGCAGCTAAATCTTGCAAGAACTTAACATCATGAGGACAGTGCCAAGAGAATGGTGCTAAACCATTCACGAGAAATCCGCCCCCACGATCCAATCACCTCCCACAAGGCACTGCCTTCAATACTGGGGATTATATTCAACATGAGATTTGGACGGGGACACATATCTAAACTATAGCATTCATCTTCCTGATATCACTCCACAAGTATCTCTATAATCATCCCTTTTTCCTTCCCTCCTGTTAAAATGGCAGAAGTATCCTTCAATTTGAAAGCTGCTATATCTTCTACTTGTGATCTCTATTCTATGTTGCCTAGCCGTCTCAGGGAGCTTAATCCTGAGTTTATCCTCTCTTTTTTATTTTCAATCTCTCTCTCTCTTTTCCCCACCCCTCCTTCTTCCATGAAACCAAAAAGCTTCTATCTCTCAAGATACTACATTGTTTGAGACCATCCTTACTCTTTCAATCATCATTTACTTTCCCAAGTCAATATATTTTAGGCCACACCTCTCCTGATTCTGTGTTACGTATCTAAAAGTCAGTTGGCAACTCTATGTCACACATTGCTCAAATTTTACATGTTCAAAGATGAATTTATGTTTCTCATCTTAGGGGAAAACATCAGATATTATATATTTTCTGAATTAGAAACCAGAGGCCCATCCTTGCAACCTCCTTTTCATTTATTTGCCCATTCAATCTATCATCTCTAACATGTCAGCTCTAGTGTTTAAACACCATTAACACCTTTTTAGTTTAGTCTTTCATCATCCCTCTCTTGGATTATTACAAGAATACTTTGTTTAGCCCTCCTCCAATCTGGTTAATGCATTTAAAACTCACTGCTTCTTTCTCTTCCTGCAAAACTTCAGTGGTCCCTCTTTCAGGATTCAGCCTAAATGCTTTAAATGATTCCCAACCTTGTATAGAATTTGGCCTAGACTTTGCGTCACACCTTTCACCCACTATCTTAGCTAGCTCCTTTCAACAACTTGGATTTATCTGAAGCCACTATCCTATCTTTGATCTTGCTTTGAACATGATATTTCAGCTGCTTTTCCTAGCTAATTCCTACCTGTATTTTAAATTGTAGCTTGGATGTCCTTTTCCCAAGAAGTTTTCCTTGCCCATTTTCCCTTGTCAGCTATGGTTGTGTTCCACATAGCTGCTTCCACTATGCACTATACTAGCCCCATTAAAGCAATTATGGCATTATATAATTAGTGCCTTTTGAGAATTTTCTCCACTAATCTGTAAGCTCTGCAAGAGCATGAACTATGTTTATCTCATTCACAATCATAGCTCCAGAGCCAGTACATGTTAGGCACAGAGTAATTATTTGTTAGATAATTGAATAAAAATGAAGGACGGAAGAAAAATGTGAAACTGAAGACTACCCCCACAAAAAAGGCATAATGATATGTCAAACCATCTGTGTCCCACTCACTTCCTCTCCAGAATAAAAAGTAAAGTGATTTGGTTATCTGGGAAGTAGATTAGGAAGTGTAAGATTACGAGAAGTGCACATTTTCTTTAGAATATTAAATTTATATTAACTACTTACTAACCTTTGTTGACTGGCAAACAAGTAAAGGTTTTTGTACCATTTTAAGATCAATAAGTGTTCAGATGCTGTCAAAGCTTGGTGAAGTAGATTTACAGGTGTTTGGGTTACAAAGAGATAACACAATCAGTTTCCTTTGTCTCAAGCTTAAATTGCGGTCCAAGGATAGTCTCAAAGTTCACCTCCTTGAAGAAAAACAAAAGAGATTTCCTTACAAGCAAGGTTATGTAATATTTTCATCCACCAGATGGGATAAATGTTGTCACTTCATCTTTCTTACCATACCTTAGCGTTACAAAGTATGAACACATAACTCACTTCCATCTTTGGTTGTTATATTGATAAATGGAGAGTCATAGTGTTCAACACGGGAGCAAACTTGGTTTGGTGCACTTTCCAACCTTTTCTCTTTGTTTTATTAGGAAAACATTCTCTTTCTTTCACACTGGTAAAGATTCAAAGTACTTAACTGAAATATACTGAGTCTAATATGATTAAGCAGAAGTATATGGCAAAGCAAACATGCACACACACGCCAACACAAAACACAAAAACAAAAATATGTATTTTTCATTTCATTTTTCTCTTATTTCTGAGAATACATGTATTAGGCAATATTGCATTCTTTCATTTCTCCTTTATTCTCTTCTTCCCCTTAATTTTTCTGTCTTTTTGTATTTTAAATTATTTTCTTTTAGGTTATATATGATATTTCATGACAGAGAGGTGGTAGTAGGGACAGTTTGCAATATCAGAGCCAGTCAGAAGATTGCCTACCGATTTTTTGTGGGGAACAGACATGATAAGCCTCAGAGGTGATGCTGGTTACCTAAGTGGTGGCAACATGGAACCAACCTTCTTTCTCCCAAAGTCACAGCCATCTCTCTTATTTTCTGTCTTTCCTTAAATGCCACTCATCAATGAGATATTCTCTGGTCACTCTACATACAATATCAATCTCTCCATCCCCCAACTCTGTATTAGATTTATACACTTTTGTTTTCACCATGACTTTTAGAGTGATCTGAACTATACATATATTATATACTGATGAGTTTGTTTCCTGCTTTTCTCAGCTATAATATAAGCTCTAGGAGGGCAGAGACCTTGTGGTGTCTTTAGTTATATACTCAGGTATATAATGAACAGCTGTTTGAATGTAGTCATTAATTAATAAATATATGTTGACTTAATGAATAAATGTCCTTCTCTGAGGCTGAAAAGATTAGAAAAAGGTAAACTTACTAGAGACCTACAGTATTACCAAAAAAAAAAGTCAGTTGTAAGGACACAGAAATATAAAAATCTAAAAATTACAAATAGCTTTCACAATATTATCTTCTTATTCTAAGTTAATTTCAAATTTTGATTTCAAAAAAGCCAGACAGATTTTGAATATATTTGTACAATTAATATTGGAATAATTAAAATATGGCTAATTGCTATGGGGAATAATAAATACTACAGAAAGACATAGCCTTTGCCTTCAGTTAAGTATATGTATTTCAATTTTACTGTCATTCTACTACATGCTTAGCATTTCAAAACTTAAAAGTAGAGTTTATTTTATATATATATATATTTATTGTTATGATGATGATTATTTGAGACAAAGTCTGTCTCTGTTGCCCAGGCTGCTCTGCTCACTGCAACCTCCATCTCCTGTGTTCAAGCAATTCTCCTGCCTCAGACTCCCAAATAGCTGGGAATACAGGCACCTGCCACCACTTCTGGCTAATTTTTGTATTTTTAGTAGAGATGGAGTTTTGCCAGGCAGGCAGATCACGAGGTCGAGAGATGGAGACTATCCTGGCCAACATGATGAAACCCTATCTCTTCCAAAAATTGCAAAAATTAGCTGGGCATGGTGGTGCATGCCTGTAGTCCTAGCAACTCAAGAGGCTGAGGCAGTAGAGTCACTTGAACTCAGGAGGCGGAGGTTGCAGTGAGCCAAGATTGCGCCACTGCACTCTAGCTTGGCGACAGAGGAAGACTGTATCTCAAAAAAAAAAAAAAAAAAAAAAGAAGGTGATCTTAGGAAACTACAAAATTAGTAGCTGAACCAGAAGTAAGACTCTAACACTAATTTTTTTCTCTTTTTCAGGCTAAGTGGAATAAAAAGCTTAATGTTTAAAACATTAGTGTAATTTATGTCTAATGTAAACAATATTGTAAACATTAAGACTACAAAAATGGCAACATTTTAGCAGTTAATTTTTTTCAAGATAAATCTAATCCAATTCTAGAAATTTTAGGACTATAATGAACTTATTACTGCTTTTTCCTTAGAGCTATGTTTAACATTGTGTCATTGGTCAACGCTGCCTTTATTAAGAAGTCAAAGAATAATCATATATGATTATTCTTATTTACTTACTTCAGAGAACTTTAAGATAAAATTGCATTCTTTGGAATGGTAGAGACAATTTTCTTTTTTCATTTTTATTTTTATTTTTGAGAAATAAATAAATGCAAAGAAACAGTCAATGTTAGGTGTCTGACGTTTACTAACAGTAGGCCTTATTATTCAAAATTAATGCCAGAATATTTGTGATTCTATAGCAAAGGGATATTTTGAAAGATATTGTTGAAAAACAGAGTCAGTTTTTTTAAGTTCCTCTTAATGTCTCAACAGCCAGTCACAGCAAACTTAAACCTTAACTCAAAAGGTTGAGAGAACTCCAAGCATGACATAAGGAAAATCCCTTCTAGCCCTAAGAGTTTGCAGGATTGGAAAAACTGATAGAGATAAGGCACAGAGATAACCTCCCAAGTTCCAGCTTTCCCTTTTCTTGTGGAAGATTAGAGAAATCTACATTGTTATGAGAAATCCTGAGAATGTTGAAATGTTTTGCCTTGACATAACCTGGGAGAAGATGCAGGCCTCTAGGAGAAGTCTAAGGACAATGGCAGATCATTTTTTAAGTGATGATGTGTATTAACAACAACCCTATAAGGTATAGGTAGCATTATTTTGCAAATAAAGTAATGGTGAACAGTGACTTAGAGCGGCTTCCCCAAGATAATACATATAGTCTTCTGGAGTTGGGACTTCAAACTGGAGGCCATTCTCTAACCATAAAAATACACAGGCTTTCCAGAGGAAGTGTGATGAAGCTTCTCTTAGGTGAGTAGCATTAGATTATCAAAATGGTAATGCATTTAGGTGACATTTCAGAACTGAAATAGATATAAACCAATTTACCAACTAAAAGAGTAGAAAAGGGTAGAAAAGGATGGAGGAATTACTGTGATACGGAGTTCCAATGTAATCTTGCTTCATCATGCTAAGGTTATTGCTCTAGTACCATAGTGTCTTTTCAGTTATGTTCTAGATTTCGTACATCTAAGTTGAAGAATGTATGTTGTAGGAGTTGATCACATGACCTCATTACAGTGGGTTGCTAAAAGTCATTAAAGAATGGCTTGCAGCCGGCTGTGGTGGCTCACGCCTGTAATCCCAGGACTTTGGGAGACTGAGGCTGGCAGATCACAAGGTCAGGAGATCAAGACCAGCCTGGCCAATATGGTGAAACCCCGTGTCTACTAAAAATACAAAAATTAGTTGGGCATGGTGGCGGGCGCCTGTAATCCCAGCTACTTGGGAGGCAGAGGCAGGAGAATTGCTTGAACCCAGGAGGTAGAGGTTGCAGTGAGCCAAGATCGTGCCACTGCACTCCAGCCTGGGTGACAGAGTGACACTCTGTTTCAAAAAAAAAAAAAAAAAAGAATGGCTTGCAAAACCTGGAAACAATAGGACTAAAGGCAGAATGCCATATACATGACCCCCTCATAGATAAAACCCGATAAACTCTAAAGTGTTTTTTTCCAGTTCTGACTGCAGATTATAAATATTAGGGCTGTTTTTAAAAAATATGTATGCCTAACACCAAAAACACAATCCATGAAAGAAAGAACTGATAAGCTGGACTTCATTAAAATTAAAAATTTATAGTCTGCCAAAGGCACTGTCAAGAGAATGAAAAGACAACCCACACAGGGAGAATATATTTGCAAAAGGCTTATCTGATAAGGACTGTTATCCAAAATATACAAAGAACTCTGAAACTCAACAAAAAGCAAACAACTCACTTAAATGTGTGCCAAAATCTTTAATAGACACCTCACCAAATAATGTATGCAAGTGACAAAAAGGCATATGAAATGATGTTCCACATCGAAACAACAATGAGACATAACTACACCTTTATTAGAATGGCCAAAATCCAAAACATGACAACACAAATCCTGGCAAGGATGTAGATTAACCAGCATTTGTATTCATTGCTGGTGGGAATGCAAAATAATGCAGCTACTTAGGAAAGCAGTTTGGCAATTTCTTATGAAACTAAACATATTTTTACCATATGATCCAGCAATTACACTCCTTTGTATTTACACAAAGAAGTTGAAATCTCATGTCCACACAAAATCTTGCACATGAATGTTGATAGCAACTTATTTATAATTGCCAAAACTTGGAAGCAACCAAGATGTCCTTCAATAGGCGAGTTGACAAACTGTGTAACATCCAAACAATGAAATTTTATTCAGCATTTTGGAAAGAGCTATCATGCCGTGAAAAGACATAGAAGAGACTTAAATGCATATTAGTAAGTGAGAGAAGCCAACCCGAAAAGACTTATACGATGTGATTCCACTTGTATAACATTTTGGAAAAGAAGAAATATGAAGATGGTAAAATGATCAGTGGTTGTCAGGGTTTAGGAAGGAGGAAAGAATGAATAGGCAGAGAACAGAGGATTGTTAGGGCAGTGAAAATTTTCTGTAATGGTGGTGGATACATGCCATAATGCATTTGTCCAAACCCATACAATGTCAGTGCTAAGAGTGAGCCCTCATTTAAACCATGGACTTTGGGTGATAATGATGTGTCAATGCAAGTTCATCAAATTCTAAGTGTATTACTCTGGTGGAGGCTGCTGATAATGGGTGAAGCTTTGCATGTGTTGGGAGAGAGGGTATATGGGAAGTCTCTATACCTTCATCTCAACTTTGCCATGCACCCAAAACTTCTTTAAATAAAGTCCTTAAAAAATATCCAGACCCCACAGTGGACAAACTGATCAGAATATCCGAGGATGGATCCTAGCTGTTGGTATTTTTAGGTGTCCTCTGGCAACTCTAATGTAGAGTCAGGGTTGTACATTGGAAACAGGGTGGCACGTCTTTTGACTTCTACTTTGTTTTGAGAATGCCGGTGTGATTTTCCTCCATGGAATATGAGGTTGGGTAGAGCAGTACATTTGTTTTTCAAATGTAACATGTCCTTATATGCTCTTGCCCTAGCACCGCTGACACGCTTCCCCTCACTCTCCTCATTCCCCTACAGGGGTGGAGTGTAGGACTATGTGATCTGCTCATTTGGCTGGATTCTAAAATCATAGCATCTGTTTGGACAGAAATTTTGTCAGCTCTGGGTAATAAAATCTAACTTTGGAAGAAATTTGTATTTTATTTAACTATTGACCACAAATAAAAAATAAATTTTTGTTGGCAATTTCCTTAAATAACCTCTTCAAATAGAACAGCTTGACTGGCCACTGGCCAGTCTTACGTGAACTTTTAAAATTACTTTTTACAAACAGGAAAAAGACAGCAAGGGATTTCAGTAAATGAAACCAAAACTGTCACAACATGATAACTCAGTACCAACGTTTTCAGAAAAAATGCATTCTTTTTCCTAAAACTTTTACTCTTACACAGGATTTTCATAATATTTATATATTTTAAAACTTTTCCATCCTTAATTATAAGCACACATCCATATTTCTACCCTGAGGTATTATTTAGGAAAGTCTCTTATTTGTTTTTAAAATCCACAAACTACGACATGCCACTGTTGAAACTTTATTATCTGCAAGTACATAATAATATATTTATGAAGTGGTTAAATATTTTTCTTTATAAAAATTATACTTTTTTCTGTGGTGAATTTGATTTTTTCTATAATATAGTACCTATATATGTGGCACATTTAGACATTGTGATGATATGTTGAGTTTGACTACAGAATTGCTAAAGTGTATTTCAGTTCTAAAATTGAGTAGCTCAGTAGAACACTGAAGTGGTGTGAGTATAACAACACTCAAGAAGATGGATGGAAAAACTGTTATGTTTTCCTACTCATGATGAAGATTTTAAGCATTACTCAACAGTGTAGTAATTCTATCTTACTGGGTTTGGATTTATAAGTTCTTACATCAAAATCAAATTAGATGTGTATTTGAAAATGTAATTCTGACATTTTAATGTAGTTGTGTCAACATAAATAAAAGCAAATTTAAAACTCTCCTTTTAAATATGCACTGTTTTGCAAATGTGCAATAGCTCATGATAAAAAAGGATTTTTTATTTTGTGATAAGATTCAAAGATCATTTAATTAATGAGCTTTCCTCATGTATCCAAGTGTTTATTTTTAGATAATTAATTGCTTGACACAGATACTTGAAGAAAAGTAAGATTTACATTTTAAATATTAGATATTGTCAACTGAATATTAATGCAGAACAGGATTCATTAATTACAATAAAAAACACATGTGGGAAACCGAATTTGATTTACAAGCATTAATTTACTCACAGCTTTGAAGAACATTGTCTTATACAAAAAGAGGCGTACCTATATACTACTTTAAGATAAATGTTAATTACTAATTCATTGAAGGACTACTCTTTGCATGGTATTATATTATATGTCATGGTGATTCAAAAGTAGAAAGACAGCCTCACTGCCCAGATGGTTACAGTTCAGTAAAGAACCAAAAATAAAATAACCATATTATATGTAGAATATGAAAACAAAACAAGGCAAAATTTTTTAAAAATACTCTAAAGAATGTAGAAAATGCTGATGATTTACTATGGAAACAGTCTGTGGCACACACATTTGATTACTGGCCTAATAACAGTTCCTGGCTCCCCTCTGCTTCAACCCTCTGCCCCTGCTTTTTTTTTTTTTTTTTTTTTTTTGATAGATCCTCAATTGCATTAAAGTATCTCACAGCTAGGAGAGCTCCCTGTATAACGAAATTAAAATTAAATCATGCTAATTTTCTCTGCTTGTTAGTGTTTGCTTTAACAACAAGTATGTGACTTAATTCTGAGCAACGATGTTTGAGGGAAAGTGTACTGGTAGATTCTGAAGGATGTTCTTCATTTAAGAAAAATTCACAATGAAAGGATGCACCTTATTTTATTTTTTAACTTTTGTTTTAAGTTTGGGGATACAAGTGCAAGTAACAAACTTAAAATAAAAGTTAAAAAATACAACCAGGTAAACTTGTGTCATGGGGGTTTGTTGTACAGATTATATCATCAACCAGGTATAAGGCCTCATACCTATTAGTTATTTTTCCTGATCCTCTCCCTCCTCCCACCCTCCATCCTCCAAAAGGCCCCAGTGTTTGCTGTTCCCCTCTATGTGTCCATGTGTTCTCATCATTTTGCTCACACTTATAAATGAGAACATGTGTTATTTAGTTTTCTGTTCCGGTGTTCATTTTCTAAGGACAATGGCCTCCAGCTCTATACATGTCCCTGCAAAGGACATGATCTCATTCTTTTTTATGGCTGCAGAGTATTCCATGGTGTATATGTACCACATTTTCTTTATTCAGTCTATCAATCACTGATGGGCATTTGGGTCGATTCCATGTCTTTGCTATTGTGAATACTGCTGCAATGAACTTACGTCTGCATGTGTCTTTACAATAGAATGATTTATATTCCTTTGGGTATATACCCAGTGATAGAGTTGCTGGGATGAATGGTATTTCTGTCTATAGGTCTTTGAGGAATCACCACACTGTCTTCCACAATGGTTGAACTAATTTACACTCCCACCAACAGTGTATAAGCATTCCTTTTTCTCCACAACCTTGTCAGCATCTGTTATTTTTTGACTTTTTAGTAATATGCATTCTGACTGGTGTGAGATATTATTTCATTGCGGTTTTGATTTGAATTTGACTAATGATCAGTGATGTTGAGATTTTTTTTATATGATTTTCTCCCTCTCACTTTTGGGTATTTAATTTGTGAAACTAAGATGCCTGGAAATTTATGTCAGGCGTTATGTCATATGAGGTTACAAACTTGAGGATAAAAACAATATACTGAGGAGAGCAGAGTAAAAAGATGAAGAAACTAGAGTTTTTCCAGAAATCAGTGACCCAATCCTGTAACTTTGTTGCTTCTAGACTTCTTGTTACATGAGATAATAATAATAGTAATGATGATAATGATAATAACAGCAATAATTTCCCTTCCCGTTAAGCACTTGTCGATTAGAGATTTTGTGTTTCAATATTAGAAACAAGTGTTCCGATGCTGGGGAAATGTGACAATATGCCCTCATATTCTCATTACTTTGAAACCCAGAAAGCCATTTTAACCTATTGGATAAGGAAAAGTCTGTCTGATAATCCCAGAAGGCTAACTTAATGTAATTTTGGTGAACACAAATTTGACCTACTTACAACTTTAGAGTGTTGGTTAGTTCTTTGAGGTTTTGCTATAACTCCTACCTCATAAGTGAATTCTCTTTATAATTGACCCCTCGGTTTTTTAGGTAAGCAATTACTCTGCCTTCTGTATTTTAGCACCTGAGAAACCTGCTTAGATAGAGCTGCTATGATTTCCATTTTCACTGGCCACTTCACATAACAGGTTGAAGCTATCAACTCTGCGGATAGGGCTTTCTCTTGGTGGGTCATTTCCATTAACAGGCTGTTGTCTTGTCATTCACCCTGCAAACTCATTGCTTTTCCTCTCTTCCACTTCCTGGCAGGTCCATACTCTCACACTTTATTTTAACTGGTTTGTGACATTTCTATCCCCAAATATCTGGTTATCTTTCTCCTGGCTTTTTAAGTTTTAAAGGCTCTTAGGGATGAGACGGTTTATAGGAAAGTAAAGGTTAATGTATTTAAAAGTAATTGTCCTGCAGGCTGGCCTCCTTACAAAAGAGATTCGCCTCCTGTAGAACTCCATGGAAACCATTTATAGCTAAGAGCTTAAGGCAGTCAATTTTGGTCAACAAAAAGACGTATACAGAATCTCCATGATCGCATCAGAGGATCGACTGGTGTTCCCCATCCATAAAAGCTGACTGGTAGAGTAGGGCTGTTGCTAAGTGTTTGCCATGTCTTACTGGTTTTGGATGCCAGTAACCCAGTAACCGATCACAACAAGGGAATGGCTGGTGCTCACTAATTGTGCAGCTCAAGCTTAAGAATTAGGCTTTATTTTGGCAGTCTGACGTCCAGCTTGTTAGTTCGCTGTGTGCTCACCCAAAATGCAATGAACAACAGAAGACTCACATACTTAATACTGTTCCTTCCCTGTGAGTTTCTCCTAATCAGTATTACTCCTCTAGTCCTCTTTTGTGAGTTCTTGGTCACTTGCCTTTGATTTCTTGATGTTTTCCAAACTGTTCACTCATTTGTAGAGTTGGCTCCAGAAGAAACAGAGGTCAATTTGCAGGGAAATTATCTGATATCCTATTCAGAAATCCCTTAAATGTCTTTCCTCATTAAAAATGGCATACTTTTTCCTTTGGTTGCACTGATGTTAAAAGCCATCTGCATCTGAGTGCAATAAGTCCATCCCTCTTGGTGCTTATTACACTCACAAGACAAGAGAAAGCAACTTGAGTAGAAGGGGTGGTGCAGGTTGACCTCATATTGCTCCTGCTTCTGTATCCTTTGTGCTGGTATATGGCCATCTCTCCCTACCCTGGCAGCTCAGGACTTCCCCTCTTCTTTTTCCCTGACTTAGCTTATTATATTCTTTTCTTTCCAAATCTCTTGTACCAAAAGAGAGTTCTAGTTATCCTCTCAGAATCCTATGTTCTATTTATGACTAACTAGTTTGGAAATTAGATTATAGATAGTCCAGGTGTCTGTAACCAAAGGTCTGATTGGTATCTCTAAGGCACAATGGCTCTTGGATTACAACACTGATTAATAAATAATCTGATCTTCCTGATTTTCTCAGCATACCTGCAGTGTTGTCTGAGGGACACTCTGCCAAGCCATGGTCCAAAGGTAAAATTTGCTACTGCTGGCAACTTCAGTAGCAGAGTAATCTTGCTGCAGCAGGTAATAAGGTAATGGCAGAGGAAGGACCCGTTTAATGCAGGCAATGTAGGCTTTCCAGGTTGCCAAGGAATGGCCATGACACCCATAGCAACTGAAGCTCCCAGGATTGCTCATTAGTTGAAACACTTCAATGTTTGAAAAATGTAAAAGCTTGTGTGGCAAACATGTAGTGAGCAAAGAGCAGAATGGCATTATCTGAGGTTGGGAGTACAAGCAGGGTCCAAGAACATTCAGTACCTGTAGATCAAGATAAAATGTCCAAATTCTATCTAAAGTAAAGTGAGAGCCTTTAGGAAGTTTTGCAGTTTGGTTTCATTGGATTTGACTCATTTCCTACACAGGGTCCAATTTTATTTGCTTAAAATGGGTGAACTAGAGGATTTTTTTTTGAATGATGAACTAGATAAAGAGGAATTGATAGTACAAAATAGAGGGGAGATCATTGTAATTGTAAAGGACCAAACCCTCAAACATGAGACGAATGAATTGCAAGTATATGTAGAAGCATTTGCATCTAGGAAGAGGAAGCATACCTTCTCCATGGAGACAGGAAGAAAAAAGGAGTAGGTGGGTAAAGACAGAGGTTTATTTTTGGAAATAGCCATGAGAAGTTGAAGGATTTCCCACCTGATTACTTTAATTTTCCAAATGGCATGTGCAAGAAAGACAACAGAATTGAAGGATATCACTGAGATTGGGGATTATAATTTCACAAAAATGCCAGTCTGCCTGATTTTCTTAATGCTTACCTGTGTGCAGAAACAGTGAAGGTGATGTAAACACATACGCAGAGTTTGGTTTTTACAGACGAGTAATGAGAGAGAGAAGCAAACAAATGAAATGAAAAATAGAAATAATGGAACATAACATGGAAAGGAAGAGAAATAATTACAAGATGGATCTCTTGATTAGGAAGTTGGTGAGGTATATTGTCTGGAAGTTTCAGTCTAGTGAAAGAAACATTTCTTGTGAGTATTTTTGAGTAGGTAAGTTGAAATGATAGCAAATCATATTTGAAAATCTAGATACAAAAAGGTATGATTCTGGAAGTGGCAAGTATAACAAGTGATTAAATTTATTTCTGAGAAATTAAGTGCTTTCACAAGGCAGAATTGACAGTTACTTAATATAAAGTTTCCATCCTCTGTGCTGTCATTCTCAAATCCTCTAAGGCAGGGTACAGCCATATTATCTGTTGGGTTTCCTTTCTTCATTTCTGTTTTAAGATTTCCTTTGCCTAGTTTGGTGACTCACGCCCATAATCCCAGCACTTTGGGAGACTGAGGCAAGAGGACTTCTTGAGCATAAGAGTAGGAGACCAACTTGGCCAATGTGTGAGACACCATCTCCACAAAAATTAAAAAATATCAGCTGAGCAGAGTAGCATGTGCCTGTAGTTCTAGCTACTTGGGAGGTTGAGGTGAGAGGATCCCTTGAGCCCAGGAGTTTGAGTTTACAGTGAGCTGTGATCACACCACTGCACTCTAGCCTGGGCAACAGCACAAGACGCTGTCTCAAAAAAAAAAAAAAATATATATATATATATATTTTCTGAAAAGCAGTCCTCACTCCTCCCCAAGAAAGTCTCAACTTCTTTGAAGAAAGAATATGGTAGCCTGCTTTATTGGAAATGTGCCCTGACAATAGCTAGCCATGATTCATTCTTCACATCTGGCTTGAATGAAAGACATTTATTAAATTAAAATATTAATTATGTAGACTATTTTTAATGGCATATTACATGTGACTTAGTGTTCCAGGTTACATTTCTAAAATAGAATCCCCCCAATTTTTTAAAGCAAAAGTGTGTACATATGATGCCATTTTTGCATGACTCAACTTATACGCATGAAGATATTTTGCTTACTAAAGTAAGAAATAAGTAAAATATCTTCAAGTATATAAGCTTAAAACAAAAAATTATTGTTCTACCCCACAACAATAAAAGCATGGAATACATTAAAGTGTTAAGGTATATATTGAGAAAAAAATTTATTTACAAATTTCTGACACTACGTGAAATATCACACACACACAACACAAATAAACTGAAGTATAAGTAGCAAAAATATAAAAATAGCTATAAAAGTGGTCCATTAACATATACGCTATAAACTCATAAACCTGTAAGCTTTTCAAAAACACCACTGAGTCATTTCTTTATACAACTCTAGTTGTTTATTCCAACTGACCAGTTGATGTCTATGATATGTAGAATAAATTGTAATCTGATTGCAAATGCATTAATAAACAATTTAAGCCCAGTTAATGGCTACACTTTTATGCATTTATTTTTCATTTGTAGGCAAATATCTAGGCCTCTTTGGCCATAACAATGAATAAAATACATGAGGACCAGTTATTTGCCATGGATAGATATAGAGACAAAACATCAGAGTTCTACAAACCTATTTTGAAAAGTCAGCATCCTGACTCCAGAGGCTAAGTACTGTATTTCAATTACAATTATTTTTAAATGATGTGACATTCATGTAATAACTCTATAGTAACAGTCTGTCTGAAAAACTCAAGACATGTGTCACAATTTATATGTTTATCCAACTTTAGTTATATTCAAAGGCTTCATATATGTAAAAGAGCTATTCTCATAATACTGGAGGAATATTAGTTTCCAATTTCAACTCTCCTATACTACAACAAACTTTATGCCTTAAAACAACAAATATTTATTATCTTGCAGTTGTGGAGTTCAGACGTCTGAGATGAGTTTTATGTAGCTAAATTCAAGCATTACACAGAGCTGCATTACTTCCCAAGGCTCCAAGAGAGAAATAGTTTCCTTGTGTTTTCCAGCTTTCAGAAGCTGTCTGTATTCCTTGCATCATGGTCCCTTCCTCCATCTTCAATGTGCATCACCCCAACCTCTGCTTCCATAAGGACATCTTCTTTTTCTACTATGCTCCTCTTGCCTCCCTTATATAAGAACCCTCGTGGTTACATTGGACCTGGATAATCCAGGATAACCCCACAAGGTCAAAATTCTTAATTTAATCACATCTTCAAAATCTTTTTTTTAGTATGTAAAGCAGCATATTCACAGGTTCTGAAGACTAAGGTGTGGCTATTTTGGAGCCATTATTCAGTGCACCACACACCCATATAAGAGAACATGGTGATATGCTTCAGAATTTAATATTCTTATAGAATGGTTTATGATTAATGACTGTCATTAGCAGTCTGGATTGTAGTTAGTGAAAATGGTTAATTCTTCTCATGGTGTTATAAACCTTATTCAACCTGACTGTAATCCATCTGTGTTGCTAAAAAAATTTCAACTCAGCTAACTCATTTTGAATGTAAAATATTATTATGATTTTGCACATCAATGTACTCAGCATTTATTCAGTTGGATGACTACATTGTATGTTAGGCATTTGGTAAGGAATGTAGATACAACGATGAATAAAAAGTGATGTCTGTCAAAGATGAACAAGAAGAAACTGTGGGGCAGATAATGTAAACTGTTACAATGTAAAGAAAATCAAAATAGTGTGAAGGAACAGAAAAAGAAAGCATCTTGATAAGAAATACTGGTAAAGACTTCACAGATAAATTAGCAATTCATTTTTATTTTTTTTAAATGGTAAGGATTTTCACCAGTGGTGATACAGAGGGGAGAGATAAAAGGCATTCTAAGAAATTAGAACAATTTGTGAAAAGATGTAGGGCAGAAAACATGTGGTTGAAACAATATTTGCAGGTAGACGAAAGTAAAGCCTGGATGATGTAAATGACCAGACCTTATGGCTTAAAAAACAGGTTAGGATCTGATTTTGAAAAATTTTAATGCCATGCCAAAGAATTGGAGCTCAGCTCAACCATAAAGTGAAGCCACTAAAGAATTCTAAAATGGGATGTGGGTTCTTAGAGATGTGATTTGAGTCTACTATACTGCAGACACTGTTCTAGGTGCTGGGATACAGCATAGAGCCTATACTCTAAGGGCCAGTTAGCAGTCCATTCGTGTGTTCTAGTCTTTTAACTTGATCACTACTTGGTTTTGATCACTTAATACTCCCAATATAAAATATTACATATATAGTGAATATATATGGGTCTATGTGTACACACATACATATTTATAATACTGAATAAGATGAGGGCGCTTTTCATTCTTATGTGTATCTGAAGTGGAGGAATGTAAATTTCTCAGTGGAATTTACCTTTTCCTTTATCCAGAAGGGGGCAGCACATCCCTTGTGTAAGAAGATAACGCTAGCTTTCTCCAGAATGTCTGCATAAGCCAGTTTTTTAAAAATGAGAACCTGAATTTTACCGTGTTTCTTGTCAGCTTAGAAAAAAATTCTTAGTAAAAGTTGCCCACTTAGAAGTACATGAATTCCTTCAGATCAGGGACCGTCTAATCTTACAGTAATTCACGTTCATTTCCCTCTCTGGGTGCCTGATGGAAAATTAAATTCCCCTCCATTCCAGACTCCATGACAACTTTCTTGTGGCTCAATCCTCCACATGGACTTCCTGAGACACTTCGCATATTGATATATATTTTTTCTTTTTTGCTCCAATTCACCTTCACTTATATTAAACCAGCATACAAAGCCATTTGGATATAAACGAATCATAAGACTCAGAAGGCTTTTCTCCTATCTTGCCTTGATTGATACAAAATCATGGACCAAGGCATGACTTTTTCTATCAGTTCTCATCATGCTCTCATTCTTCACGAACTTATAAAATAAAATTGAAGAGATTCTAGATGGCAGTACTAAATGTCTACATTTGCCTTCATGTAAATCAACAACTAAACCACTTATAAACATATGTGTCTTTAAGCTTTGCTTTCAGAATTCCTCCTGGCTTCCCTTTGCACACTGTACGTCAGTTATTCAGGCCATTCAAACTCCTGTCCAATGTGTCCTTGAAATGTTGTGTGACTGATAACATGCCTCTACCTTTTCCTGTCTCACATGGAGCTCATTAGTAGTAGTCCCCAGTGTCTATTGTTGACATCTTCATGTCCACGAGTACCGTTCATTTAACTCCCACTTATAAGTGAGAACATGCGGGATTTGGTCTTCTGTTCTTGTGTTAATTCACTTAGAATAATGGCCTCCAGCTGCATCCATGTTTCTGCAAAGGACATGATTTCATTTTTTATGGCTGCATAGTATTCCATGTTGTATAGGACATGATATCATTCTTTTTTATGGCTGCATAGAATTCCATGATGTATATGAACCACACTTCCTTTATCCAATCCACTGTTGATGGGCACCTAGGCTGATTCTGTCTTTGCTATTGTGAATAGTGCTGCAACGAATATGTAAGTGCATGTATCTTTTTGGTAGAACAATTTATTTTCTTTTGGATGTATATCCAGTAATGGGATTGCTGGGTCAAGTGATATTTCTAAGTTCTTTGAGAAATCTCCAAACTGCTTTCCACAGTGGCCGAACTAATTTACACTCCTATCAACAGTGTATAAGCATTCCCCTTTTGCCACAGACTCACCAGCCTCTGTTGCTTTTAGATTTTTTAATAATTGGCATTCTGACTCATGTGAAATGATATCTCACTGGAATTTTGATTTCATTTCTCTGATGATTAGTGATATGGAGCATTTTTTTCTATGGCTGCTTCTCTGTCTTCTTTTGAGAAGTGTTAGTTCATGTCTTTTGCCCATTTTTCAATGGGGCTATTTGTTTTTTGCTTGTTCAATTATTTAAGTTTCTTATATGGAAACTTTCATGTTTTAATGTCTTTGTTGCTCACATTTTGTTTCCTCTTATAGCTATATTTCTCTAAAGGAAGTTTATCACACAAGGAAAAATTACTAAATATCTTAGAAATATTTTGAAGTGCTTATTAATTAATGATAAGGATAATTTAGAATAATTACATTTACAAATAATGTTTATAATACTGATTAATATCCTAAATGTAAAAAAATCCACATTTCTACATACAATTATATATCTAACATACACGTATGGAATGTGCTTTCTATTTAGAGTTGGGAAGATATTTTGCTAGGATTCACTAGACCATGTTAAAGTCAGCCAAAACATTATTATAGTTGTCAATGTAAGCATTTCTTGTGAAATGCAGAATAGATTTTAATATTTATTCATTAATTAGCTAAAACTATTGATCTATTTTGTTATTATGCAAATGTATTCCAGGTAAAAATCTACCATAATTCTGCAGACAAGTGTATCTAAATTATGCATAATACTCTAATTCTTCCATACAATGTACAAGCGGTGGATTAAGAAAAAGGACAAAATAAGCTTTTTAATATGTTTTCTGCTGTGCTCAGTGAGTACATTAAAATTATGTCCCCTTTTTCCCACACTTGCTTGAGCTGTTAACAAAAGCATAAAGATTACGATTGCCAAATCTGTCCAGTCTATAAATCAAATTAATTATTTTCTCAATCATTTCAGATCTTTGTTTCAATTTTAATAAGTTAGAATAGTTTATCTGGCCAAGGAACTTCCAACAAAGTTTGCTTTATTTTGTTAATAGGACAGATTATGTTGATGAATTTTTGAATGGTAAAATCAGCCTTGCATTCCTAGAATTAATCTTACTCAATCATGCTATATTTATACTGGATTTGAATTGCAGTATTTTGTTTAGGATTTTTATTTTATTTATATTTTCAAGAGAAATCCTGGGCTCTTTTTTATTTTACTTTCTTCTGTGTGTGTGTGTGTGTGTGTGTGTACACATGAGCATGTGTCTGTATGCTGCCTTTGGTGTTGGTATTGGGTAATGCTAGCCTTGTATAATAAATTGGGAGTTTTGCTACCTTCTCTGTTTTTTGAAAAAGACTGTGTAGGCCAGCTGCGGTGGCTCACGCCTATAATCCCAGCACTTTGGGACACTGAGGAAGGCGGATCACCTGAGGTCAGGAGTTCGAGACCAGCCTGACCAACATGGAGAAACCCCGTCTCTATTACAAATACAAAATTAGCTGGGCGTGGTGTCACATACCTGTAATCCTAGCTACTCGGGAGGCTGAGGCAGGAGAATCTCTTGAACCCAGGAGGCAGAGGTTGCGGTGAGCCGAGATTGCACCTGGGCAACAAGAGTGAAACTCCGTAAAAAGACTGTATAAAACTGTGGTTAATTCTTTAAATGTTGGGTAGATTTGTCCAGTGAAATCATCTGGACTTGAAATTTTCTCTATTGGATAAACTTTTCAATTACTATATCAATAATTTTAATAGTTACTAGGCTATTCTAACTGTTTCATTTTGAGTGAGTTTTGGGAGTCTGCATTTTTTGAGGAATTGATTCACGTCTCAAGCTGTCAAATTCATTTGTATTCATAGTAATTCCCTTACTATCCTTTTAATATCTATGGGGTCTGTAGTAGTAATCTCTCTTTTCATCTAGATATTGGCAATGGGTGTCATTCTCTTACTTCTTTGTCTGTCTTGCTAGAATGCTATTGTTTTCAAATAACCAGCATTTTATTTCACTTATTTTTTCTATTGTTTTTCTGTTTTCATTGATTTTTGCTGTTATTGGTATTACTTATTTTCTTCTGCTGCTTTGGTTTGGTTTCCTTTGATCTTCTTTATTTTATTTATTTATTTTTTTTTTGGAAGTCAAAGCACAAAAGCTATGAAACCATATTGGAATCTGAGACAAAAGAAAATCAGTAATATTGATCTTGTCTTTAATTAAAATGTAGATGTTGCTTACATCATAGAGTTCAGAGTTTTTCTCAGTCATTTCAGATCTTTGATTGTTTCAATTTTAGTAAGTTAGAATCTGGCCAAAGAATTTCCAATGAAGTTCACTTTATTTTGTTAATATGACAGATTATGTTGATGAATTTTTGAATGGTAAAATCAGCCTTGCATTCCTAGAATTAATCTTAATCATGCTATATTTATAATTAATTTTGATTTTTAAATGTTACATTAAAGTATTATTCATGTTAATTATTCAGTTTTTAGTGACCTTTAATCTTTGTCCTGAGTTATGTGCTTCACTAACATAGTCGTGGTACTGTTCCTGCTTATATCTGACCCCTTTTATCAAGAAATATGTAGGATTCTGTGTCTGTAACACTTTTAAAGCCTCCCTAATGATGGCAAGTTAGGGAACTATGTTGTAATTATTCCATGAGACCATGGTCTTAAACTGAGTTCCCCTGTAAGCAGCCACTAAGGAGTGGCTTTATGGGGAACTGATTTATTTAAAAATTTTTCCCATAAAGATATACAATATTTGTTTGTCAATAAATAAATACATAGTTTAAAAATTTATTCCCAAGGGCTTTTGGTAAAAGCGGGTAGGAAGAGGAAGGGGGAGAAGAAGAAACCAAGAAAGACTTCAATTTCAGATAAAATTTCAGGGAGGGTGGCTCCAATCTGATCTGATTCTGCAGGGGAGTTTAGGAGTGTAAATTAGTTCTCAGACTTACCCTTATTTGAAGGAAGAAGCTGACTTTCCAAGTTGGATGAGGTGGATTGAACATAAAACTCCCAGCCACAGCCACTCTCTCTTCCCTTTGAGGGCAAAACAGCTCCAGTAGCTTGTGGCTAGTCTTCAGAAAAAAGAATCAAGATGCTGACATGGCCATAGGAGGCAAAAGGGCCACACAGCAGCAGAAGTGGCATAAAGAAGTGGTAAAAATCAACAGATTTGACAGTGTTGGCTACACCTATTATGTAAATACATCAATTACAAGCACAGAATGACTTTCCTATATTTAGATACTTACTGAAATACAGACTAAAATGACTATTTGCATATTTCTTACTGGCTCTATTTACACACACACACTCTTTCTCTCTCTATGTAGATAGGTAGATACGTACACACATCTATATATGCACATTCTCTCTCTTTATTACCAAGGATTGGCCTTTAGGTGCTAAAAATTTGATACCTTTGGGGGGACTAGATAAGCTATAGTAGATAATGTAGATATAGTAGTAATGTAGTAATGTAGTACTGCAGATAAAGGAGATACTAGAAAGGTAGCTAGATAAGATATCAGGAAGAGTGTCTGTATTTGCCTTGACACATTTTTAAATGTATAAGTACAAATTCTCTTTGTATTATTCTTGAACTTTTTAACTCTTGTAACACTTAAAATAATTTATTTTTAACTCAAATACTTGTAGGAAGATGTCTATATTTTATCACTACAAATTTTATTTTATTTATTTTTTATTTTTTATTTTTTATTTTTTTGAGATGGAGTCTTGCTCTGTCACCCAGGCTAGAGTGCAGTGGTGCAATCTCAGCTCCCTGCATCACTACAAATTTTAAATAAATACTTTATAGTATATTTAAGTGAATCCAATTATTTTATATATGTATACATATGCAGTATAATAGGAAGTTACATATTAGAGTTTACATAAATATACATTATATAAGATACTTAAAATCTATACCCACAAAGCATAACTTACATATAAATTTAATCATTGTTATAGCTATATATGTCTACTTATAACTGTGACTTGACATTCACCAACATCTACATAAAATATGTAAAAAAAAAAGCTCCTCCTGAATAAACATGTTACTTTGTTTGCATTCTTCTTTGAAATAATATTTCCATTTTTCATATCAATATAGAGTTATACTAATTTATTTTTAAAATTATTCCTGCAGATTATTTTTTGGAAGAAACATAGTATATAAAGCAATTGACTATCTTCGAATTGAGTATCTTAAAATGTATTCTCTTTAATTTATTCATGTCCTTTTACCATCAGGGGTATGCTCACTAGTTTGAAGATCTAAGGTTATAATATTCTTTAAAATCTAATTCCATAATTAAATTTAAATTCATTATATAAATGTATCAGAAATATTTATAATGTATTTGCATTATAAATATAAATTTATTACAAGGACTTAAATATGAAGCTTATATATTAAAATTCTCTTGGTTACGTTATAAAATCATGTCTACCTTGTCGCTTTACATTCTTAGAAAACTCTATCTTCATAATTAGCTAAAATATTTAACTATTTGACTCTGAATCCTTTATTTAAAAATAAAATATTAAAAATATATGACAACATAAAATACAACTTACTCATAATTAATGAATTTAAACAAGAAAATAATGTGCATATCTACTCCTCCTTTTTTGCAAATCAACCTTCCACCATCCCAGAGATACAGAATATTATATCATTTAAAAGAAAAAGCAGAGTAATGGGGATACCTATATACCTTATACCTATAACACAGGTGATACTAGTTTACTTTTTAAAACATCCCCTGCTAAAATACATTGTTGTTATTTTCTCTGTAAACTGGAAGTCTTCTTAAAATGTTGTTGGCCGGGCACGGTGGCTGATGCCTGTAATCCCAGCACTTTGGGAGGCCGAGGCGGGTGGATCACGAGGTCAGGAGACCAAGACCATCCCGGCCAACGTGGTGAAACCCCATCTCTACTAAAATACAAAAATTAGCTGGGTGTGATGGCGTGTGCCTGTAGTCTCAGCTACTTGGGAGGCTGAGGCAGGAGAATCGCTTGAACCCGGGAGGCGGAGATTACAGTGAGCCAAGATCGGGCCACTGCATTCCAGCCTGGCAACAGAGTGAGACTCCATCTCAAAAAACAACAACAACAACAAAAACAAACAAAGTTGTCTTCGTCTCTTAAGTCAGTTGAGTAATTTATAATTGTTGCATGTTCTAACAGTTTTCCCCCAAAATACAAATATTTCCAACAATAACTATAATTAAGATTTTTAGCATATAAAACATCAAATTTTTCAAATAATCATGTTGATTGTGGTCCTAAATTAAGTTTATATTGAAGAATATGTGTAAGACTCAAGTCTGTTAGGAAAAATCCTAAATACTTCTCAAATGCTTAATATTGCACTTAACAAAATAATTAATATGCTAAGATATAGGGCTCTTTCTTTAATAGATTGGTGTTTTGTTAATTAGATGCATGAATAATTTAACACATTTAATCTATGATATTTATTATTTAAACTAATTAGATGTATGGGGATTATCCCATTTAATCAAAATATAATTTATTTTAATTATTTCTAGGCAAGTAGTATAGTGTTTAGGATTCACAAAGTTTAACAATCAAAGCATAATATGCTTATTTTATCATTTTTTTTTACTTCTAAACATTTCAGAAACAAAACAAAAAAGTTTCTCAGATCAAATGAGTCACATTAGCAAAATGTAACAAGGAGAAGAATGCAATGAAGTAAAATAACACAAACAATTAACTTTCAAGTGTTGAGGCGTTATTAGAATGCTATTAACTTTCCTGGATATAATTTAGGTGTCAAAGAAAAACATATCTTAAACTGATAGACACTAAAATAGTTTAGTTAATTTTGCCTCAAGAGAAAGCACAAATGGCTTTTCCACTGGAAAAACAAAACAAATGTCATCATATTTGTTTCTTTAAGAAAGTATAAAATTATACAAAATCAATTTTTAGGATTTTATTTAGAAACAAATACCTTAGTGGTCTAAATAATGTAAAAAGGGGGATACTATTTGGAGGTAGCAAATTTTTGTTTCATTAGAGGGTAACTTTATAAAAAAAGTTACTGCCATACTTCTCTTAATGAGATGTTTTTATGTAGATTATTAAATCAGACAGCCTATGAACTCTTTTCTATGTGAGATGCTACAATCAATTATGAGGGGAAATAACAGATTTTATGCAGAGTGGATAGCAGAGGGAAAATTCAGAAAAAATATTAAGGGAGAAAGATGCTATTGCCATAGTCATTCTGTTGGAATCAATAGAATTAAAGGGTATGTATTGCCAAAACAAGTGAATGGAATTACGGGGAGAAACAAGAATATTGCGTTGGCAATACTTGGTGAAATTCAGCATGTACCTCTTCTATGGAAAACTTTTCCCAGATACATACTAGGGAAATTCACCCACAGAAACTTAAAATAGGTATATCTATAAGGATATTCATAGTAACATTATTCATGTGAATGAGAAGTTGAGTATAATTGGAGATTCATACATACAAGGAAACAAAGTAAAATATTGTACAGGTATATGTGGCATGTTATGCAGCAGTTAGAAACTATAAATTTATGTAGAAGAGAGGCAATTTAAAAAATAACAATATATATGTACAACATAAGTGCTTTAGCAACATATCTATTCAAATTAAACACACATACACACCACTATTCCCACCAGCAGCAGCAACCACACTGTGTTTTCACAGATTCATGGCTATTCAAAGACAACAGATGCATTACAGTGCATGCACACTGGAGAAGGGGAATGGGAGTGGGTTTTATGATGGCGTAAGGAAAAAAGCTATGTATCTATAAACATACTATAAATATGGATAAGTCTGAGGTAGGAGGCAGGCAGGCCACAACTCTGGACCAGATTGAAGACTGGCCAAAGCCTAGAAGAGGCACAAAAGACACTTCTCCATAAAACATGCCCAACAGCGCCATGACAGCTTACCATTGCCTTGGCACAAGCAAGAAGTTACCAATCCTTGCCAAGGTAATACCCAGAAGTTACTGCCCATTTTCTAGCTCATTCCAAATAATCTGCCCCTTACTTAGCATACCATTAAAAGCGGGTATAAATGTGACTACAGAACTGCTCCTGAGTCGCTACTCTCCACATACTGCCTATGGGGTAGCCCTGCTTCGGAGGAGCAGTCACAGAGCTGCAGGACTGCTGCCGCCTCAATAAGGCTGTTTTCTTCCACCACCAGCTCGCTCTTGAATTAATACCTGGGTGAAGCCAAGAACCTGCCCTGCATCAAGTTTATGTGTATATAAGTGTACATACATATATATACATATGTATATATAAGTGGCTCTTCTACCTGAATCTCACAGAAGAGTGGCTTCTGTGTTGTGTATGTACCCTGGTATTAAGGTGACTAAGCCACTTCTATCCTTTGTGGACTCCCATATATATTGCAGAGGATTGCAGAACCCTGACCATAACCCCGAATCAGACTCCATAAACAATATTTGGTACTTAAGCAACCAAAGTGATAACTACTCCATTCCTTCATGAGACACTCATCTTTAATTTTTCTCACTGAATTATTCTTAGCACGCTAAATCGAGGTTAATACAATAATTTAACCCTGCTCATGGAGAGTGTAAATGCACAATTACTCTGTGTGTAAACATCTGCAGTACTGTTTTAATGTGCTGACAGTTTCTAATGAAGGTAGCATGTATCTGTTAAAGTTGTAAAAATCACTCTAAATTGGCCAGGCACAGTGGCTCACGCCTGTAATCCCAGCACTTTGGAGGCCGAGGCGGGTGGATCACGAGGTCAGGAGATCGAGACTATCCTGGTTAACACGGTGAAACCCTATCTCTACTAAAAATGCAAAAAATTAGCTGGGCGTGGAGGTGGGTGCCTGTAGTCCCAGCTACTCGGGAGGCTGAGGCAGGAGAATGGCGTGAACCCGGGAGATGGAGCTTGCAGTGAGCCGAGATGGCGCCACCGCACTCCAGCCTGTGTGACCGAGCGAGACTCCGTCTCAAAAAAAAAAAAAAACAAACAAACAAACAAAAAAAAACACTCTAAATTGAGGCTTAATTTATTAATTTTTAAAAACATTTATTAGAGGCTTAAGGACTTCTTAAAACCGAAAAGACACAAATACTCTCATTTCACAGAAGAAGCTTCTGAGGTCAGTGAAACTGCAATGTTTTGACAATTACTAGATAGTAAATTAGGGGCAATCTGAGATTAAAGCCAAATTATTCTATTGCTTCCTTCAGGGATATTTCTACTATAGTATGTTTTATTTTCAGATGTATAGCATATATTTTGCATGTTGTTATTGTTCAAATTATCTTTATACCAGTTGCTACAATTCAGATCTGGAGGGACCTGTAAGGTCATGTAAATGAACAGAAGCAATGAAAACGCATAGGTGTGTATTGTGTGAACAGACGTGAAAACTGTAAAGCAATTTCTCTGCCTAAAGAGAAATCCTCTACTCAGCTCCAGTTGGCTTCTGCCATTGGTGGTGTATGCCAAACGTGACCAGATGTGTTGCTGTTGCTGTTATTCGAATTTGTTTTGTTTTGTTTTGTTTTGTTTGAGACAGATTCTCGCTGTGTCACCGGTGCTGGAGTGCAGTGGCGCCATCTTGGCCCACTGCAACCTCCGCCTCCCGGGTTCAAGTGATTCTCCTGCCTCAGCCTCCCGGGTAGCTGGGACTACAGGCGCGTGCCACACGCCTGGCTAATTTTTTGTATTTTTAGTAGAGATGGGGTTTCACCGTATTAGCCAAGATGGTCTCTATCTCCTGACCTCGTGATCTGCCCGCCTCAGCCTCCCAAAGTCCTGGGATTACAGGCGTGAGCCATCGCGCCTGTCCTTGAACGTGTATTTTTTAAAGTTATCTTTGAAATAACAATTGAGCAAGATAAAGGCCAGACAAAACCCATATGGGAGATGGATTTGGTCTGCAGGCTGCTGATTTTTTTTTTTAATATACTTTAAGTTCTGGGATACATATGCAGAACGTGCAGGTTTGTTACATAGGTATACAAGTGCCATGGTGGTTTGCTGCACCCATCAACCCGCCATCTGTATTAGGTTTTTCTCCTACAGGCTGCCGATTTTTAATTACAACTTATGCAGTCTGTTGTGCAATCATACGGAATAATATCAACATCAATTATTGAATTTAACAACAGCAGTATACTTACCATCACAGTCTTCAGTGCAAGAATCTATTGAAAGAAAATAAAATGCACTAATAAAAGCTTCAAGATAAATGGATGATTATAAAAATTGACTTATCATCATTAAAGTACATTCCTTTAAGGTCTCCAAACACTGCTGTGTATGTGAAATGTTTACTTTAATGCAAACAAAGGTAGAGATAATTAATCTCATTACAAATAATCTGAGAAAATAAACTTGAAACAGGTGATCAATGCAACTATAATTACCTTTGATAATCCATTTATTAATCATATATGTGAATTGTAGATAAATTTCCTTAGCTCTTGATACAATTAAGTACCTTGTCAATTTCTTCATTAATAGTTCAGTGTTGATTGGTAATTTCTTTCAGAATTAGTTATTGATTATCGTGATGCAATGATGCCACTGACAAATAATTATTTTTTAGATGTGGTTGCCCTATGGTATAAAAGTTAATATTCAGTTGAAATGGCAAAATAAACATAAAGTCACTTCTTATTCCTTATCTAGTCGATTCATCTGCCAATGAAATTTGGTTTTCTTGGGCTTTTAATTATACTTAGAAAATAGTTTTAGAGTTATTATATTAGCTTTATATGTCAACATAAGTTTTGTACTAAAACAATGTTTTTAAACTACCCCCCCCCCCCAAAGAAAACCCTAAATGGTGATATGTATTATATAAAAATGGAATCTGTGTTTAAATAATTTTGGGAATGTTACATTCTAGAGGTTCATTTTGCAAAACTAGCATGCCAAAGATTCTGAAGTTTTCTAGCAATGAATCTTTATCCTTATCTTATTTAACAAACTATTTCTCCAGTTTATTTAAGCGGATCATTTTTCCCCTTGATTTTGAGGAAAACAATTTAGAGAATGCTAACTCAGAAGGAAAAAAGTTGCCCAAAGCCATACAACTCATTTAAATTAAGTTCAAAAATGCCTGGCAGATTTTCTGATTCCTACAATATGGCGGCAGAGACGTTAGGCTAAATTATGTCAATATTTTTCCTCAGATGAATATTAAAATCTTTAAAAATTATTCAACTTT
This sequence comes from Homo sapiens, assembly GCF_000001405.40. Taxonomy (NCBI): domain Eukaryota; kingdom Metazoa; phylum Chordata; class Mammalia; order Primates; family Hominidae; genus Homo; species Homo sapiens. Next base: position 187,831,895 of record NC_000002.12, on the reverse strand, counting down.
TATTATAGGTTAAAGGGCGCATGTGCAGGTTTGTTGCATGAGTGAATTGCATGACACTGAGGCTTGGGGTCTCAATGATCCCGTCACCTAGGCTGTAAGCATAGCACCCAACAGGTGGTTCTTCAACGCATACCCCTCTCCCTTCCTCTTTTGTTTAGAGGTCCCCAGTCTCTACTGTTCACATCTTAATGTTCATGTGTATTCAATGTTTAGCTCCCATGTATAAGTGAGAACATGTGGTATTTGGTTTTCTGTTCTTGCATTAGGTTGCTTAGGGTAATGGTCTCCAGCTGCATCCATGTTTCTGTGAAGGACACAATTTCATTTATGGCCGCCAAATATTCTAAGGTGCATATGTACCACATTTTCTTCATCCAATCTACTGTTGATGAGCACGTAGGTTGATTCCATGTCTTTGCCATTGTGAATACTATGGCAATGAGCATGCGGGTGCATGTGTCCTTTTAATCGAGTGAGTTATTTTCCTTTGGGTATATTCTCAGTAGTGGGATTGCTGGGTTGAATGGTAGTTCTATTTTAGTTCTTTGAGAAATCTCCAAACTGCCTTCCACAGTGGCTGAAGTAGTTTGCATTCCCACCAACAATGTATAAGTATTCCTTTTTCTCTGCAGCCTCACCAGCATCTGTTATTTGCCTTTTTAATAATCAACATTCTGACTTTTGTGAGATGGTATCTCATTGTGGTTTTGATTTGCATTAAAAGAAAATGTCTTAATCATGCTAAATTTTCTTTGTTAGAAGCATGCAAATTTGTAATATTCACCAATTCACCAATTTTAATTCGTCAAAAATTTCACAAGTGCTAAAGACGAAATTTTTATAAAATTAGCATTATCAAGGGAAATAAATTGTGAATCAGTGAAACATGAAAGTTTGCCTGTAAATTTTCAAGCATAATTAGATTGGTTTAGTAGTATAGAAAATGGTAAAATTAAAAAGTGAAAGCATCTGTTCATGTCATCCTCCACCTTCTGAAGGGGATTATGCAAATTGCCCAAGAAAGCACAGATTTAAATAGACCCCCAAACTCTCTACAGATACTGCCTTGTTTGAGGTCACAACTGCCTTCCTATATCTAGGCAGGACATGAGACAGTTGCAGGACACCATTTCTTCCAGCTGATTATGGCTCTTACCCAGAAGTGGGGACATGAGAACTTTTCTGGCTATACTCCAGTCCATGTTGCCTTGACTTTTACCTCAATTTTGTGTGTTGTTTGATTCTACCTGTCTGTCTAGCTCTCTATGGCTCAGCAAGAGAGATGGTTTTTAACTTGATGTTAGAAGTTACTTGAGTGTGTATGTGGCTATATATAAATAAAAATTAAAATTAAAAATTAAAAAATTAAAACAAGGCAATTCAAACTGCATTTATTTTTTTTCCTCAGACCTAAAGGGCAGTCAGGTTTCTCATTTCTGGAAGACTGCACTGATTATTTCAAGGCTGTGAGTCAAGGCTGAGTGAGGATTGTCACACACATATCTACTAATTTATATCTTTTTTCCATATTGTTTATAAAACTTTGCGTAGAAGTATTTATATAGACATAGATATAAAAGTTGACAAATTTTAAGTCTGTAGGCCCATATATTTTCACAAACCAAACATCCTCAGGCAATGGGCACACAATCCGAGACTACAATCAGCTTCAGAAAGAGCTCCCTTGGTCTCCATTAGAATCACTGTCTTTGATTGGGCTGCTATAACCAAATAGCATATTTCACACCTCACCCACCTCCTACTGACCCACCTTTTGGTGTTTCCAATGTCTATTATTCCACTCTGTAAGTATGTATGTACCCATTGTTTAGCTCCAATTTTTAAGTGAGAATATGAGATTTTTACTTTCTCTTTCTGAGTCATTTCACTAAGGATGATGGCCTCCCATTCCAACCATGCTGCTGCAAAAGACACATGATTTTTTTCTTTTTTTATGATTAGGTACACTAAAAGCCCAGTACACAATGTATCTATGCAACACAACTTCACTTGTACCCTGAAATCCATAAAAATAAAAAAGATTTAAAAAATTATATATTTGTTTGCATGGAAGACCACTGAAAATTTAAGAAACATTAATACCAGATGGCTAGCGAGCCATCCAGGCAGGAAAAAAATCTAATAATCAAGTCCTATTTCATATAGATTTAAAATTTTGCTTGCACTAAGATTAAAAGTATTTGCATATATAATCAAAATTATTCATGATGTAATCATGTATGTATATGTACATGTGTAATAGGAATACTTTTGGTTTTGTTTTTTACAAATTTATTTAGCTATTTTTAAAATATCGAATTCTTTTGAAAAGTGTCTGTTCATGTCCTTTGCCCAATTTTTATGGGGCTGTTAGTTTTTTTCTTATAAATTTGTTTAAGTTCCTTATAGATGCTGAATATTAGACCTCTGTCAGATGCATAGTTTGTAAAAATTTTCTCCCATTCTGTAGGTTGTCTGTTTACTCTGCTGACAGTTTCTTTTGCTGTGCAGAAGCATTTTAGTTTAATTAAATTCCACTTGTCCATTTTTGTTTTTATTGCAAATGCTTTTGGTGTCTTTGTCATGAAATTTTTGCCCATGCCTATGTCCTGAATGGTATTGCCTTGGTTGTCTTCCAGAATTTTTATAATTTTGGGTTTTATGTTTAAGTGTTTGATCCATGTTGAGTTAATTTTTGTATATGTTGTAAGGAAGGGGGTCCATTTTCAATCTTCTGCATATGGCTAGCCAGTTCTCCCAGTGCCATTTACTGAATAGAGAATCCTTTCCCCATTGCTTGTTTTTGTCAGGTTTGGTGAAGATCAGATAGTAGAAGGTGTGAAGCCTTATTTCTGGGTTCTCTATTCTGTTCCATTGGTCTGTTATGTACCAGTACCATTATGTGTCTGTTATTGTACCAGTACCATGCTGTTTTGATTACTGTAGCCCTGTAGTATATTTTGAAGTCAGATAGAGCAATGCCTCCAGCTTTGTCCTTTTTGTAACTGCCTTGGCTATTCAGGTTCTTTTTGCTTCTGTATGAATTTTAAAATAGTTTTTTTCTAGTTCTGTGAAAAATCCCAATGGTAGTTCAATGGGAATAGCATTGAATCTATAAATTGCTTTGGTCAGTATGCCTATTTTAACTGTGTTGATTCTTGTCTATGAGCATGGAATGTTTTTCCATTTGTGTCATCTCTGATTTCTTTGAGCAATTTTTTCATTGCAGTTCATGAAAGAGATCTTTCACCTGCCTGGTTAACTATATCCCTACGTATTTTATTCTTTTTGTGGCGATTGTAAATGGGAGTTCGTTCATGATTTGGCACTCAGCTTGACTATTGTTGGTATATAGGAATGCTAGTGATTTTTGCAAATTAATTTTGTAACTTGAGACTTTGCTGAAATTGTTTATAAGCTTAAGAAGCTTTTCGGCTGGCCAGGCACAGTGGCTCACACTTGTAATCCCAGCACTTTGGGAGGCCGAGGGGGGCAGATCATTTGAGGTCAGGAGTTTGAAACCACCCTGACCAACATGATGAAACCCCATCTCTACTAAAAATACAAAAATTAGCCAGGCATGATGGTGGGCAACTGTAATCCCACCTACTCAGGAGGCTGAGGCCAGAGAATTGCTTGAGCCCGGCAGGTGGAGGTTGCAGTGAGCACAGATTGTGTCATTGCACTCCAGCCTGGGCGACAGAGCGAGACTCTGTCCCACAAAACAAAACAAAAAAACCAAACCAAAACAATAATAAAACAAACAAACAAAAAGTTTTTGGGCTGAGTTAATGGGGTTTTCTAGATATAGAATCATGTTATCTGCAAACAGGGATAGTTTGACCTCCTCTCTTGCTATTTGAATGCCCTTTATTTCTTTCACTTGCCTGATTGCTCTGTCCAGAACTCCAATACTATGTTGAATAGGAGTGGCGAGAGGGGCATCCTTGTCTTGTGCAAGTATTAAGGGGAATGCTTCCAGCTTTTGCCCATTCAGTATGATGTTCGCTGAGGGTTTGTCATAGATGGCTCTTTTTTTAAATTTATCATTTTCTTTATCATTGGAGGGAAAGAAAGCAAGCAGAGGTGGGGGTATGGTTACTCTATTTAAGGAAGAGCCGAATACAAAGACAATGAGCCTTTCATAGTCTCAAGAATTCCACAATGAATAACTGAATTATCTCATTTATAATTCACACTGGATCAAAAAAATTGGTTCCCCTCTGTGTAGATCAATTTAATTCAAACCTTATTATCTTCAGAATACAGAGAGGAATACTACAAGATAAACTCTAACTGCACTAGGTGTTTTCTAAGTAGAAGACCAAACACCAAAGGGAATCCCTCTTTCCGACGTCTTTTGATATGACAAGATTTTGCCAGAGTGGAAGTCTAACACTTAAAAAAGCATTCTCATGGCCAAGTAAGAAACTACAGTTGTTGTGGGTATTACAATACAATTACCATATGTACTACATATTAAATTAAACTCAGCATTAAATATGCTTCTAAAATTATGCTGTTAATGATGATAACAGTGATGATGCTGGTGGAAAAAGCCTGTCTTTAGCCCAAGAAAAGTAAGGGAGAAAAATTTAACAAGCAGAAAGCAGACACAGAGTTGGGCATTTTTTTGACTAGGAAAGATAATTTTAAACAAAGACATATAAAAAGAAAAGTAATCCCTTATTTCCCCTATGTGGAAATAATATGAAATATTTATTAGATATATTGGACAAGAGCAGAACTAAGTACTCCAACTGTACTGCAGGATTACAAAAAAATCATCCCTTCACCACAGTGTAAGGTTTAAGGGCAATCTGCAAAAGTATGCATGTTATATAAAGGACAGCAAGATTGCTGCTGCCCTGCCAAGTACTTCCAGTCCCTACCCAGGTCCTACTGAAATAGTGGTGGTCCCAATTAGTTTTATTGATATAAATCTTTAAAGAAAAAGATAAAGCATTTAAAAAGACAAGTCAAAATGCTTCAGGAACCATATATCCAACACAAACTTTATCCTCAAATGAGTTATGTTTCCCTCACACTAATATACTTTTATTTCACTCAAACTAGAGCAATAATCTTCCATACATATGTATATTCCCTGCCCAATAATTCAAAGAAAAAAATCCAAAATGGTTAGCAAATAAAAATATGATAATTAACAGATGCTTTAAATTTGTTTTAAATATTTTTAAGGTTTAAAAGGTGTTTGAAGTTTGTAATTCCTAGTAGGAAAACATTATCTGAATGAATACCCTAATGGCAAACCACTGTAAAATGTTTCAGCTGCATTTGAGGGAGAGGGGTAGGAATTATCTTCAAAGCACCCCAGATCTTTTGATGAGAAGGTCAGAGGTACACTGGTTTGTATTATTGTGACATCTGTAAGGTGATCTTGGTTGCTTTTCCTTCAGCAAGGGCTTTATTTATCAGAAGGGCATTATGCTTGACCTCCAAATTTGGCTCACAATTTACTGATAAGATTCATAACCTTTGGGTTGCTCTGGTATTTTGATATATTTGCTGGGTTCTGAGCCACATCCTGGAAGGCCACCATAACTTCTGGATCCTGCATGGCTGTAAGAACCTCTGGATCACTAAGAATTTCATTAAGCCCAGGCATTCTGGCCACTCCTGGTATGCCCCCTCCGATTCCAGGCATTCTTCCAAGAAAATTACCAGGCATTACCCCAGGAAAGCCACCTGGAAAAGAGCCATACTGAGCTCCTGACTGTTGTCTGGCTGCTTCCTCCCTCTGGGCTCTCTCATGCTCTTCTCATGCCTTCTTAACTCTTTCTACTCTTTCTTTGATCTCTCACCCTTCACATTTTTGCTCATACTTTCTCCGATGTTCTGCAATTTTCTGAGCCCTAAATTGGACTTCTTTCAGCGTTGCACTAGCATCTTTATCATACTCCAATTTACAGACAAGGGCAAGATCATGGGCTGCTCCTTTCCAGTGGCCTGGAAGCCTGTGTGCTTTCCCTCGCCACTTGTAAGGCTGAGCTAAATCAGGATTTATTTCAATGGCTCTGTCACAGTGTTGGATGGCAGCATTTGGCTTCTGTAATTTGACAAAGACACTGGCCCTCTTGGCATACAAAATGGCCAAGTGAGGATTCAGCTTAATGGCATCTGTGAAAACGTCAATGGCTTTCTGCAGTTCACCATCATTTAGGGCTTCAATAGCAGCTACTTTCTTATCATTTGCCTGATCCATCATCTCCTCTGTTATCTCTGCATTTTCATCTCTCATTTCTTGAGGGGCATCAGTGTCTGGTTCAATCACACCTTCATTATCAATTTCTAGATCACTTTCCTCACTTGATGGTTTGTCTGCCTTTAAGTCTTCCTCCACTTTCTTACTACCAGGTTTTTCTTCCTTGGTATTTTCGTCTGATTTAGCTTTCTGAGTAGCAGGTGGTATTTACCCCCCATACTCTCCACCCACACCCTCAGGAAGCACATTTCCTCGGTGTGCAGAACGCTCGGATCCTGCTTACACATTTTCACAAAGGCCCGAAGCTCGTTCACTTTGTGGGGTTCCATGGTCAGGAGGCGGTGGGCGAAGCTGAGGGGCTGTGGCCGGGTTCCAGGCCCAGGCGCTGACTTGGCATGACTGTGCAGAAGGGGGCGGCTGCCGCAAGTCAGAGCAGACTCAGATGGATCTTACTATTTTGAGGTATGTTCTTTCAATACCCAGTTTATTAAAGGATTTTAGCAAGGATTTTGAATTTTATCAAAAGCTTTCTCTGCATCTATTGAGATAATCATGTTTTTTGTCTTCAGTTCTGTTTATGTGATGAATCACATTTATTGATTGTGATACCAACCTTGTTGAACCAACCTTGCATCCTGGGGATGATGCCTACTTGATCATGATGGATAAGCTTTTTCTTGGGCTGCTGGATTCAATTTGCCAGTATTTTGCTGAGAACTTTTGCATTGATGTTCATTACATTAAGGATATTGGCCTGAATTATCTTTTTTTGTTATATAACTGCCAGGTTTTGCTTATAAGGATAATGCTGGCCTTATAGAATAAGTTAGGGAGAAGTCTCTCTTTTTCAATGTTTTGGAATAGTTTCAGTAGGAGTGGTATCAGCTCTTCTTTGTACATCTGGTAGAATTCAGCTGCAAATTCATCTGGCCCTGGACTTGTTTTGGTTGGTGGGCTATTTATTACAGCCTCAATTTCAGAACTCATTATTGGTCTGTTCAGGGATTCAGTTTATTTCTGGTTCAGTCTTGGAAGGGTGTATGGGAGTGTAAATTAGTTCAGCCATTGTGGAAGACAGTGTGGTGATTCCCCAAAGACCTAAAGACAGAAACACCATTCAACCCCACAATCTTATTACTGAGTATATACCCAAAGAAATATAAATCATTCTATTGTAAAGACACATGCACACGTATGTTCATTGTAGCACTATCCACAATAGCAAAGACATGGAATCAACCAAATGCCCATCAGAGATAGACTGGATAAAGAAAATGTGGTACATAGACACCACAGAATACTATGCACCCATGAAAAAGAATGACATCAAGTCCTTTGCAGGGACATGTATGGAGTTGGAGGCCATTATCCTTAGCAAACTAACACAGAAACAGAAAACCAGAAATGGCATGTTCTCACTTATAAGTGGAAGGTAATGATGAGAACACATGAACACATAGATGGGAACAATATACACTGGGGCCTTTCAGAAGGCAGAGGGTGGGAGGAGGGAGAGGATCAGGAAAAACAACTAATGGGTAGTAGAATACCTAGGTGATGAAATAATCTGTACAACAAACCCCCACGACAAAAGCTTACCTATGTAACAAACCTGCACTTGTACCCTTGAACTTAAAATAAAAGTTAAAAAAATTCCAAATGTAAAAATATATATATAATATAAAACTCACCCATTTTGTGCATACAATTAAATTATTTCAGTAACTTTACTGAGTGCGACAACCATCACCATAAGTCAGCTTTGGAAGATTTTCATCACCCTAATAACAGCCATCATGCCCATTTAGTTAAGTCTCTTTTCCACAGTGGCTACATGGTGTTCTGCAAAATGAATATACCATAATTTTATTTAGTATTAAGTCTAAAACATCTAGAATGTTTCCTTCTTTTCCCAATTCAAAATAAACTTTAATAAATATCTTTGTGGTCAAACAACAACAACAAAATACCATAATCTGGGTGGCTTAAAAACAACAGAAATTTATTTCTCATATCTCTGGAGGCTGGGAAGTCTTAGAACAAGGTGCCAACAGATTCAGTGACTGGTGAAGACTCTCTTCCTGGTTCACAGATGGCACCCTCTCACTGTGTTCTCACATGTTGGAAGGAGCGAGAAAGCTCTCTGGGGCCTTTTATAAAGGGCACTAATCTGATTGATGAGGGCTTTGCCCCTATGTTCTAATCACCTCCCAAAAGTTCTGCCTTCAAATATTATCGTACTGGGGATTAGGTTTCAACATGTGAATTTTGGGGGGAATACGAACATCCAGACCATAGCAGGCACATTATCAAGTAATTACTGTTTCTTCCATCCAGTTGAGAAATTCTGGGAGAGATAGAGTAGAATATCTCAGACTTATCCCAACTGAGGGAAGAGGTGACTGGTATTGTCATTGGTTTATATTTATTTCAGCCATTCTGATGGGTGTATATTTGTATTACATTGTCCTTTCCCTATTCTCTATATTTTTTGTCCTTCTCATTTTGATGTTTTTTATATATTTGGAGTTCTGTATATATTTGGATCTCTCTCTTCTTTTTAAGCTATATGTGTAGCCAATATCTCTCCCATTGTATGTATTGACTTCTCACACTTTTAATGTCATTTGATTAATAGAAGTTTTACATTTTTAATAGAGTTCAATTTATCAATATTTTCTTTTATGTTTAGCACTTTTTTGGTCTTGTTTACAAACTCTTTGCCTACTCAACACCATTTGTTAAAAAGACAATTTTTTCCATTTAGTTTCTTTCACTTAATAATATGCATTTACGATTTCTCCATATCTTTTCAGGACATGATAGCTCACCTTCTATTAGTGCTGAATAATATTTCATTGTCTAGTTGTACTACAGTTTATTTGTTCATTCACCTACTGGAGGACATCTTGGTTGCTGCCAAGTTTTGGCAATTATGAATGAAGCTGCTATAAACATTCACGTGCAAGGTTTTGTGTGGAAATAAGATTTCAAATATTTTCCATAAATACCAAGGAGCACAACTGATGGATCATACAGTAAGAATAAGTTTAGTTCTGTAAGAACTGCCAAACTGTCTTCCAAAGTTGCTGCAGCATTTTTTATTTTTAGCAGCAAAGTTGCTGCTGTTTCACATCTTCCTCAGGATATATAATGCATGACTCCAACTATATGACATTCAGGTAAAGGCAAAACTTTGAAGAGTAAAAAGATCAGTGGTTGCAAGGGGTTGGGGAGAGCGAGGATGAATAGGTGAAGCACAGAGGATTTTAGGGTGGTGAAATTACCCCGTGGGATGCTGTAATGGTACATAAATATCATTATGAATTTGTCTAAACACATAGAATGTACAACACCAAGTGTGAACTTTAACAATGTGCCAATGAAGGTTCACCAGTTGTAACAAGTGTCCACTGTGACATGGGATGTTGACAGTAAGAGAGGGTGTGTATGTGTAAGGGGCAGGAAGTATATGGGAACTCTCTGTACTTTCCACTCAATTTTGTGATGAACGTATAACTGTTCTAAAACATATTAATACATACATATGTATATTTTATAAATAAATATGTATACAAATATAAATAGTGGGTTATAATTACATATATATATATCCTATTATTTGCTCACTGAATTGTAGCAATTTGTCACAAATTATGTGACTATATTGTGGGGGTGAGCTTCTAGACTCTCAAGTCTCTTATTTTGTATCGTTGAATCAATAGCACACTGTTTTAATTACTATAGAATTATAATAGGTCTCAATAACTAGTGATGTATTTTTCTTCTATTACACATGATTGCTGGAGGTAATTTGGAGACACTGTTGGTCAGATTATTGTTCAGATTCATCTCATTTTCTGAGAGATTTTTGTTTAGTTTCGTTTTCATTCTTTTTTTTCCCTTTAGTAAATATTTGTTGAATTTTGCCAGATACTTTTTATTACATATATTGGGACATTTGAATAATTTTTGTTTTTTTTTCTGTTAATGTTGTGAATAATGTTGACTGATTTTAGAAATTAAATCCTTCCCTGCATTGCTGAATTAAAATTACACTTGAATGGTATTTCTATTCTTCTACAACTCTTTTAAATTTTATTTTCTGTTATTTCTCTAGCTCCTTGAGGTTAGTGCTTAAATAATTGTGTTTTCATATATCACTGGATTCAATTTTCTACTCTTTTGCTTAGGGTTTTTGTGTCTATATTCATGAGGATTACTCTAATTTAATCTTTCTTGTTACATCCTTGTCAGATTTTGGCATCAGTTTATATCTTGATTAGCAGTTCTAGAAATTTAATCTGTTTTATTATTCTTTTAAAGAGCCAAAGCCTGACTTTTACATTTCTTTCATTGTGCATTTTTAAAATAATTTATATTCTTAGCTTTTTTCCTTTGCATCCTATAAATTTTAATTTGCTATTCTTTCTCTAGCTTCTTGAGTTAGAAAATTATATATTTTTTTCTAATTTATACATTTAAAGCTACAAATTGTTCTGAACCATATGTTAGCTGCATTACACAAGTTTGATATATCTTGTCTTCATTAAAATGAAAGTGATTTTTTAATTGATACATAAGAGTTGTATATATTTATGGGGTACATGTTATATTTTGATACATGCATACAATGTGTAAAAATCACATTAGGGTAATTGGGTTATATATCATCTCAAACATTTATAATTTCTTTGTGTTGGGAACATTCCAAACCTTTCCTCATAGGTATTTGAAAATGTACTATAAATTCTTGTTAACTGTAGTTGCCCTACTGGGCTACTCAACATTAAAACTTATTTCCTCTATCTAAGTATATTTTTAACCAACTTTCTTTTTGAATTTTTATTGTGATATTTTCTTTTGCCTATGAATAAGCATGTTGCATAACTTTCTGGTAGATAGGATATATTTTTGTTATTTTGTTATTGACTTTTAATTCCACTCTGGTAAGAGAACATAATCTACATAACTTCAATGTTTTAAAGTTTTTTGGGGTTTCTGCATGTCTCAACATCTGGCCACTTTTGGTAAATTATCCATTAGCATTTGAAAATAAGGTAAGTTCTGAGGTTGTTGGGGACAGCATTTTACATAGGGAATTTGTTAATTATGTTTGTTAGATCTTCTAATCTATAGAAGATTATTTAGTTCTTGTCTACTAATTGTAACAGGTATTTAGAGAGGTTTGTTAATGTCTTCTACTTTTATTAATTGCCTATCCCTTCTAATTCTGATGATTTTTGTTTTAAGTATTTTGAAGTTTCTTTATTTAATGCAAGCAGATTTAGATTGGCATATTGTCTTTTTCTATTAACTCCTTTATCATGATATAAAATTCTTTCGCCGGGCGTGGTGGCTCATGCCTGTAATCCTAGCACTTTGGGAGGCCAAGGCGGGCAGATCACTTGAGGTCAGGAGTTAGAGACCAGCCTGACCAACATGGCAAAACCCCGTCTCTACTAAAAATACAAAAATTAGCCTGCTGCAATGGCATGCGCCTGTAATCCTAGCTACTCCAGAAGCTGAGATGGGAGAATGGCTTGAACCCAGGAGGCAGAGGTTGCAGTGAGCCGAGATCGTGTCACTGGACTCCAGCCTAGGTGACAGAGTGAGACTCTGTCTTAAAAAAAAAAAAAAAAAAATTCATTTACAGCAACTCTTCTTTACATGAAGCACACTTTTTTTCAATATTAGTAAAGCTACATACACATGTATTGCCTTAGCCTCAATTTTACCAGTATATCTTGCAGTCCCTCATTTTCAACATTTTTGTGACCTCATCTTTAACATATGTCTCTTCTAGGCAGTAGTAGGTAGCACAGAAGGTTTTATTTGTTCACTTGTTTGTTTTCCCCATCCAGCCCCCTGTAACTATGTAAAGCTCCATTGAGTCATCTCGGTCCCTCTGTAGCACTCTTCTTCCTAGGTCAATCCCAGAATTCAAGCCTCTAGACAAGGTACAGGAGTTTAACCAGAAACAGCAGAAGAGATTCAGATAGACTCTGACATACTCTAAAATTTTACTTCTTGTAGTGACTTCTGTGAATCTCTGTCTGTATATGTAGTAAATAATTTGACTTTTCAGGTGGTTCTCAGCAGAATTGTTATCCTGTGAAGTACTCCATCTATCTAAAAGCAGAAGTCAGGATGATTTTTAAAAAATATTTCTAAATATTGTACAAAATGATATCAGTAAGGCATTTTAAACTTGGGACTCTTACATTAGGCTAGCAGAAGAATTTTTTTATGGAAAAGACATATGCAATGGTAAGTTAATGATTACCAGTCAGGATTTCAGAGAAAACAAGAAATAATTAAATCATAAGTGGTCTATGTTTCCGTAGTCACATCATATCTGTTACCATTTTTATGAAAATATTATGATTGTTATTGACATAATTCCTAAAATACTTTTACATGTTTCTTTCAGTTGTTAATACAATATTTTGTTTCCGAAAAAATCCTTGAAAAAGCCAAGCGGAAATTATGTGACATGTTTCTTTATATTACGTGAAATTTAAGGTCTAAAATGAACAAAATCTATTTGATCTTTTTCAGTAGCATGAACCAGAAAGCCTAATCTTCATTATTGGCAAATGCTTCTCATACTCTTCTGTTTCCATAGGTGAAGTATTGCTACATCAGTAGTTTCAAAGGAACAGCTGTCAGATATCACTAAAGCAAAATGCAAACCATCAGTTCCACAGTTATCAATAGCTAATATGGACAAGTTGAAACATCTTCACATCCTTATGAGACTAAAAAGTTGTTTTGTATAGTCTAAGTTTATTCATTTTTAGTTAAATTTTAGTTAAATTTAGATTTTTCTTTTGTGGAGCTTATGGTCTTTAAGAACCAGTGATTTTCTCGATTTTCTCTGTGTCTAGGCAAAATGCCTTCAGTTGACCCAAGCCCTGTCATCACTCCAGGCAAAACTGTGTATTCTGCTTTCATTTTCTTTTATTTATTTTTCAAATTGACATAAAAAATTATATGTCTTCACCATGTACGACATGATGTTTTGAAGCATATATAAATCGTGGAATGATTAAATTTAGATAATTAACATATACATTACCTCACAGGAGTATTTTTATGGTGAGAACACTTTATGTCCACTCTCTTAGCATGTTTCAAGAATACAATACATTGTTATCCATAGTCACCATGTCGTATAATAGATCTCTTAGAAATTATTCCTCACAGCTAACTGAAATTATTCCTCACAGCTAACTGAAATTTTGTATCCTTTGACCAAAATCTCTAGTAAACTTAGGAGAGTTTGATTTATTTGAAAATTTGTGATTACTCATCTTAAACTTGTTTGTTCTTTGGGTATTTTTTTTTTTTTTTTTTGAGACAGAGTCTGGCTCTGTTGCCCAGGCTGGAGTGCAGTGGTGCAATCTTGGCTCATGGCAACCTCTGCCTCCTGGGTTCAAACAATTCTCCCTGCCTCAGCCTCCTGAGTAGCTGGGATTACAGGCACATGCTACTACGCCCGGTCAAGTTTTGTATTTTTAGTAGAGAGAAGGTTTCACCATGTTGGTCAGGCTGGTCTCAAACTCCTGGCCTCAAGTGATCCACCCACCTTGGCCTCCCAAAGTGCTGGGATTACAGCTGTGAGCCAATGCACCCAGCCTTCTTTGGATATTTTTTTTCAGATGTTTACTCTCATATTTTATTTTGGAAACAAAACTGGTAAAATGTATAATTCTGTTTTAAATGTGTTATTATCATTAGTAAGAATATACAATCATTATTGATTTTTTAAAAAGAGCGTCAATCAAAGTGAATAAACCTTTCATGTAATGAGTTGAATTCACAGCTGTATTTGCTTGAGAGGTAAAAAAAGACAAAACTAATGGGTGTGAAAATAAAGGATCTAGCTTAAATATAGTTTGTTAAGCCTGGGTTGTAAACATGGAACATAACAAACATATTCTAAAAATTGTGGTTATTTGACAGCGGCAGGAGACAGACAAATTCCTAGGCAGACAGGGGCGGGTCCCCGGTGAAACCTGACCTTAAAACCAAAGACAATTTAAAGCCTGAAAACCTAGCTGCCAGTTCTGGGTAAAGTCCACAATTGGAGTGAGAACTTCCTCAGTGCCTTTTAGCCAGTCAAATGGTGCTTTATCCAGGCCTGCCCACGGACCAATCAACACAAACTCCCCCATTCTGAGTCCATAAAAGCCCTGGACTCAGACACACTTTAGGTTACCCACTTTTCGGCCCCCTCTCACACAGTGGCTTGCCCACATTGGGTCCCCTCTCATTGTCAAAAGCTTTTCTATCACTCTATAAAATTCTTCTTCACCTTGTTCACTCACCAGTGTCTACATAACCTAATTCTTCTTGACTGTGGGACAAAAACCCAGAGCCCACCAAATGACAAGTGTGAAAGGGGCTGTAACACTGTAACCCTCCCTCCCACTCACCAAGCAATGGGGAGAAAGAGCTGCTGGGTGTCACATGCCACCCCTTCATTTGTCACACTGTGGGCAGCAAGATTGAATGTAAGCTGTAACACGCACCCCCATGTGCCACACTGTGGGTGGTGGGAAAAAACAAGAACTGTAACAGTCCTTCGGGGGTCAGACCTCAGGACTCACTGGGTGAGAGCCATAGCACCCCTTGGGTCTCTGCAATTGCTGGCATCTCTGAGTTTTTGGGCACCACCATGTTCCCTTCATCCAGACACCTGCACCCGAGGCTGAAGCAGGTCACAGCATGCCTGGCCCAGCTGCAGACTAAACACAGAGCCATAGTGGGTGTCAAATCCAGGCTGGTAGCACAAGCTGAGTGCAGCTGCCAGGCCAAGCGAATGGAGTGAGCCCAGTGGCAAGCCCAGAGCTGAGCAAAGCCCAGGCAGAGGTGCTACTGGCTGCAGAGATTTCTGGCTGGCAAAGTAGCACTGAAAGAATCCTGTAACATTTTGACATAGACCAATAGAACTAATAGAACCAGGAAGGAAGAGTATTTCTTTCCATTCACACAAAAATGTATTTTTCTTTTTCTTCTTGTTGCGTTCAACATCTAATGGTTCTCAAATATATTTCATTTATAATAGAGTTCTCATAACATTTATTTATTATGTATTCTGATAAATAATCTGGCCAAAATGGCATTAAACAATGATCACACTTCCTGTTTAATTCAAATTATTAAAAAAAATTAGACTAAACTTGAACCCTTTTTTTTTTTTTTTTTTTTTATGAGAGACTAGGTCTTACCATGTTGCCTGGGCTGGTCACAAACTCCTGAGCTCAAGCAATTCACCTGCCTCAGCCTCCCAAAGTGCTGGAATTACAGGCATGAGCCACCATGTCTGGCCAAAAACTTTTAAAAATAATTAAAAATATACATGTAGCAAAATAATGCATGCAATTGTTTATCAAATCTCTTAAGTAATTACTGTCATAGTTTATTTCTAATAGGAGACAAAGTCATTTGCAAAATAATATTTAAAGAGTTTTTAATAGAAAATGCTGTCTCTATATATATCATGTAATCAGTAGATATTTATGAGAGGCATATTTATCAGACTGGATTTTTTTAAAAACTGGAATAAAAAATCCAGTTTGGCCAGTGGAAATACAAGACCATTCATTGCACTAATAATAATAATAAGCCAAAAGAAGATAGTAATAATAATAAACCAAAAGAAAAGCCACCAAATATCTGCCAATAGCAGAATGATCAAATAATACCGTATGCCTTACCCTATAACTATAAAAAGAAAAAATGTACATATATATATACATGTATGTGTATGCATATACATATATACATGTATGTGTATGCATATGCATATATACATGTGTGTATGCGTATGCATATATACATGTGTGTGTATGCATATGCATATATACATGTGTGTGTATGCATATACATGTATGCATATATATACACACACATCAGGATATATCTATATCTGACATGGAGTGAGCGAAAATCCAAATTTTTAAGACAGATAGGTAGTTACATAAAGTCTGGAAGATATGCATCACTTTTTTTAAGCCAGTGATTACTGACTGGAACAGTAGGATAGGAGACAGGCTTAGGATAATTTTGTTTTAACTTTCTACATACCTGTATTGTTTAAATCACTTTTTGTCTTATTGTTAGCAAATAACAACATATTAACTGCATATAAAAACCATTAAAAAGTTAAGAATAGCACATCAGGCATAGACAGCAATAAACAACACACTCATTGATGTTCAAAACTTAAATTTCTGTGCCAGGAAATACAAAAGGCTTGCTATCATTTAAAGTATACATTTCAAAATGAAGCCCTGATAGGAGAAGGTCACTAAATGGGACCTAGACTTACAGATTCTTGCTGAGTCACTTAGACTTTATTTGTAGGTGAAAAAGATCGATTTTTTTTATCTTAAGCAAAGGAGCAGAAAGTGACACAAACAAGTTTACTCTTTCAAATTAAGCAAACCAGATCATTACTCGAAGGTGTTAGAGGACGTAATGAACTTGGAGGTGGTGGAGGATAGGAGATTAAGAAGAGACACAAGAAGTTTACTGAAATAGTGCAGGTGAGAAATAATTAGGACCTGAAAAATGAGAATAGGTACAGATGATAAGTACAGTGTTTGAATGTTTTTTTGTTGTTGTTGTTTTGTTTTGTTTTTGATGACTGTGGATCACCAATGTTGATATATTGAGCAGATTTTTAGATATATGTATGAATTGCAAGGTGAAGTTCAAGACTGAAAAAGGAAGATTTAAGTACTTTCCAGGCCATACATAGAAATTAAAGCCATTTATATAGTGAGTGAAGTCCACCTGGGAGAGCATTAATGAGAGAAGAAAAGTGAAACCAGAGAAGAACGTTCAGAAATACAAATTAATTTTGTTAGGCTGAGGCAATGACGCTCCATGAAATGGAACAGTGAGAGTAAAAAGAGGAAAGGTATTAGGGAATGGAAGTAGCACAAGAGCTAAGAATGAGTCAATAGTACACAAAACAACATTCCAGAAATAATTAAAAATTAATAAGGATATAAAACAGTTTATTAGAGTATTAGTCACATAGAATATCATGATTTTATATTTTTGTGACTTGATTTAAATGGAAGAGTATAATTACTAATTAAAACCTTGACATTTACCTCAGTAAATTGCCACCAGAAATCTACGTTTTAACAAAATCAATGGCTAGAGGTATCATCTATTTCTAGATGACTATACACACAACATTGGAACACCTACATGTGCTATGCTTTCTAAGTATGTTAGGGTGAGTGGGTACTTAAATTTTCTACAACTTTAACCCAAAAGGCAAAATTTCCCAGAGGATAATGTTTAGAATTAACAAGACCAACTAATTAAATTTAATCAGGTCAACCCAAATGAGATAATTAGCATAATTAATTTTGATTTTAAACTGTCCCAAGGGGATGCAGTATTTGCATATTTGAGAGAAGAACTTCAATGAGGGAAAGATAGAAGGAAACGGGGAAATCAATTTAAAATGTAGAAAAGTGACACGAAGTAATTTGACATTTTATATATAAATTAATATATATAATTATATACATTATATGTTAATAATATATAAGTATAATAATATATTATTGCCATATATACTATATATTTTATATACATAATTATATATAAATTGTTTATTTATATATACTTTGACATTTTATATATAAGAAGGACTCGTTTTATTAGAATGTGTAACTATCTAAGTGTAATCAGAAAGACTTTTCCTCAAGTTCTGTCTTAGGAGGAGTGTTGTATTTACTTTCTATTTTAAAATGATCTGAGCATTTTACTTTGTTAAATGAATTGGGATGGCAAATAAAAATGTAAATTGGAATATATTTGTTGGAGTAAGGATCTTTAGTTCACAGTATTTGAGTTAATTTTGCCAAAGCATTCAACTCATTTTGAATAAGAAGCTGAGATAAAACAACTACACTCTATTGAGACAGTATTATATAGCTGTGATTAAGAGAAAGACCTACATTTTTCCACAAGTTAGTATCCTTGATGTTAGGATGTGTCTTATAACTGGTAGATATTTTTTCTTTTCTTCTGGTATAAAATACTGGTGATACCGAAAAATGATAGCGTCATAGATTAGATAAAATATGGTAGTGAGTAAGGCATTTCCCACTCTGAGATTATACTTCAAGAGTATAAACTAATTGTATCATGATTTCTTATAATATTTTTCATTTAAAATATACATAAATATAATAAGTACAAATCACTATATAACTTAAAGTATACATCCAGGTAACAATGATCCAAGTCAAAAAACTTTTTGTGATCCCTTCCATTTCTTCTAAGTGTAACACTTATTTTGACTTCTATGGCACCCTCTTTGTTTCTTTTAAATTTTTTCATCATGTATGTTTTCTAGAAAATGTAGCTTGATTTTACCTGTTTTTAAAGTTTAGAAAATGAAATTCTACTAAATGTATTGTTTTTATTTGCTTCTTATTCATATTCTTGCTGCTTCTTATTTATTGTGTATTCATTAAAAAATTTATTTCCATAATTCCTCCCATATCCTTACTGGGGAACAGGTGGTGTTTGACTACATGAGTAAGTTCTTTAGTGGTGATCTGTGAGATTTTGGTGCACCCGTCACCCGAGCAGTATACACTGCACACAATTTGTAGTCTTTTATCCCTCATCCCTTTCCCACCCTTTCCCTCTAGGTCCCCAAAGTCAATTGTGTCATTCTTATGCCTTTGCATCCTCATAGCTTAGCTCCCACTTATAAGTGAATTCATACAATGTTTGGTTTTCCATTCTCTAGTTACTTCATTTAGAATAATAGTCTGCAGCCTCATGCAGGTTGCTGCAAATGTCATTAAATCATTCCTTTTTATGGCTGAGTAGTATTCTGTCACACATACATAAACCATAGTTTCTTTATCCACTCGTTGATTGATGGACATTTGGGTTAGTTCCACATTTTTGCAATTGAAAATTGTGCTTCTCTAAACATGCATGTGCAAGATTCTTTTTTGTCTAAGGACTTCTTTTCCTTTGGGTAAATACCCAGTAGTGGGGTTGCTGGATCAAATGGGAGTTCTACTTTTAGTTATTTAAGGAATCTCCACACCGTTTTCCATAGTGGTTGTATTAGTTTACATTTCCACCAGCAGTGTGGAAGTGTTCCCTGTTCTCTGCATACATGCCAACATCTGTTTTTTTTTTTTTTTTTTTTGACTTTTTGATGATGGCCATCCTTACAGGAGTAAGATGGTATCACATTGTGGTTTTGATTTGCATTTCCCTAGTAATTAGTGATGTTGAACATTTCTTCATATGTTTGTTGGTCATTTGTATATCTTCTTTCGAGAATTGTCTATTCATGTCCTTAGCCCACTTTTGGATGGGATTGTTGGTTTTTTTCTTGCTAATTTGTTTGAGTTCATTGTATATTCTGGATATTAGTCCTTTGTCAGATGTATAGATTGTGAAGATTTTCTCTCATTCTGTGGGTTGTCTGTTTACTCTGCTGATTGCTCCTTTTGCCATGCAAAAGCTCTTCAGTTTAATTAAGTCCCAACTATTTATCTTTGTTTTTATTGCATTTGCTTTTGGGTTCTTGGTCATGAAATCCTTACCTAAAGGAATGTCTAGAAGGCTTTTCCCGATGTTATCGTCTAGAATTTTTATAGTTTCAGGTCTTAGATTTAAGCCCTTGATCCATCTTGAGTTGATTTTTGTGTAAGGTGAGAGATGAGGATCCAGTTTCATTCTCTTACATGTGGCTTGCCAATTATCCAGCACCATTTGTCGAATAGAGTGGCCTTTCCCCAACTTATGTTTTTGTTTGTTTTGTCGATGATCAGTTTGCTATAAGTATTTGGGTTTATTTCTGAGTTCTCTATTCTGTTCTGTGCCTATTTTTATCCCAGTGCCATGCTGTTTTGGTGACTATGGACTTATAGTATAGTTTGAAATCAGGTAATATGATGCCTCCAGATTTGTTCCGTTTGCTCAGTCTTGCTTTGGCTTTGTGGGCTCTTTTTTGCTTCTTAATACAATGTCGTGTTTGTGAGATTGAACCATGTCTTTGAGTGTACAGTACAAATAATTTTTTTGAGAATAAGTGGTCACTCTGATGGATCATCACTCCCAAATTCTCTACTGTGTGTTTCTATAAGAAGGACATCTTTCAATGTGACCATAAAACACCCATCCCAATCAGAAATATAGCATTTATCAATTACTGACTTCTAATCCTCAGAGCCTATTAAATTTTTGCCAATTGTTTGCAAATGTCTTTTATAGCAAAATAATCCAGTTAAGACTTACATATTAGCGTTCAGGTTGCTTTAGTTGTCAGGTATTCAGCCTTCTTTAGTTTGGAAGGCTTACCTGATGTTTCCTTATGATTAGATTCAGGTTATATACCTTAGCAGAAATAACACAGAAGAGACGTTATGTTCTCATTGCATCTATCAGATAAAGAACAATTTTTATTTGTTTCATTAGTTTTTTTAAAAGTGAAAGCAATTTTATTATGAAAGTAAAGGAATAAAGAATGGCTACTTCATAGGCAGAGCAGCCAATTTATTTCATTTCTGATTATATTTAATTTGATCATTTGAACAAGTTGGTGTCTAACAGTTTTCTCTTTTTTTCCTTTTAAATTAATAAATATTTTGTGGATAGGTACTTTCAAACTATGTACTTATGCACTTTTGCAACTTTTGTTTCTTATGCAACTTTTGATATGTTCATGAAAATGTTTATATTAGTATGGTCTCGTGGATTCCTATTTTATCCAATCGGTTATAATTCATTACTATTATTACATATTTTGATGCTCAAATTGTCCTAATTTCCTAGTGGGACCCTGTTCAAGCTGACTTCTGTGTCTTTTTCTCATGTTTCCAACTTTCTTTGAGAGCCTCCTTTATTTCTGACACAACGGTGCATTCTAGCCTTTTCTTGTAATCTCCCTGCCCCAGACCTAGAATCAACCACTTTCCCAAGGATCCAATATCTAGGTGCCAGGTGTGTGCACTGTAGACAGGTCCTCACTGTAGACAGAGCTAGGGAATACATGTACGTTTACACATGCAGGCACATATACAGAGAGCTGCATAGATAGATTGAAGGACAGGGAAGCTCTTCAAGGTTCATTTGAGTTTTATTCCTTTCCATATGTGTAACTTCCTTTTTGACAGGGAGAAACTACCTCCCATAACCTTAATTATTTACTTTTTAAAAATAATCATCCCTCCCTTTTCTATCACCTTACTGTGTGTAGCACCCAACACCAGGCCACGCCACACCAATAGAGAAGCCTTCCTGACCCAACTCAGGCTCTTATTCCCAACACCAGCTGTCCCTTCTTGCCAAGGTAGTACAGAGATTTCTCACTTACCCCACACAGTTTTCTTTATTATTAATGTCTAATGTTAGCAAGGTATGTTTGTTACAATGAATGCACCAATTTCAATACATTGTTAGCTAATGAATTCCATATTTCATTCAGACTTTCTTAGTTTTTGCCTAATGTCCCTTTATTTACCTAATGTTCCAGGATCCAATCCAGAACATGATATTACATTTAGTGTCCATGCCTCCTTAGGCTCCTCTTGGCTGTGAGAGGTTTTTTAGAATTTCCTTACTTTTGATGTCTTACATGGTTTTGAGGTGTACTGGTCAGATATTTTGTAAATTGTCCCCAAAATATGATTTTAATGATGGTTTTTTTCATAATTAGACTGAGGTTGTGCATTGTGAGTTGAAAGACCACAGAGCAAAAGTGCTATTTTCATCTTATCATATCAAAGGCACATACTACCAACCTGACTTAATAATATTGATATTGACCTTGGTCACATGACTAAGGTTGTGGTTGCCAGCTTAATCTTACTGTAAAGTTACTCTTTTCTCCCTTTCCACACTGTACTCTTTGGAAAGAATTCATAATCAGCTGCCAAAATTAAAGAGTGGGGAGTTATGTTCCATGTCATTGAGAAATAAGAATTTATATACATTATTTGGATTTCTTCTGCACACAGATTTTTGTATTCTTCCCATTTTATTTATTTATTCAATACTTACTTGATGCTACAGATTGTAATTCAGGACTTTTTTTTTTTTTTTTTTTTTTTTTTTTTTGAGACGGAGTCTCGCCCTGTTGCCAGGCTGGAGTGCATAGTGCGATCTCTGCTCACTGCAACCTCTGCCTCCCAGGTTCAAGTGATTCCCCTGCTTCAGCCTCCCGAGTGGCTGGGACTACAGGCATGCACCACTGCACCCAGCCAATTTTTGTACTTTTAGTAGAGACAGGGTTTCACCATGTTGGCCAGCATGGTCTCAATCTCTTGACTTCGTGATCTGCCTGCCTTGGCCTCCCAAAGTGCTAGGATTACAGGCATGAGTCTGCACCTGGCCCAGGACTAACTTTTTTATACCCTGCTCAAATTGTCTTAGCCTTCCGTATTGTTGAGAGATCTTTCTGTTGGATCCTACATCTCTTTGATATTACCTCCACCATTCGTTGTGGGTTATTTCTTTTCTCTCCTTGTTTTTAAACACTATTACTATCTGGCAATAAAGATCTTTCAAGATTCACCTATATTCCCTTGGTTTCTTTGATCAGAAAATAGCATTAGAAACCATGATTTGAGTACTAAATGTGCTCATTTCTACTGCTGTGCCATGGCTTCTCGGCCCTCTCAGTTGACAGATCAGGAGAATATAGGTGTGTGTGCTAACGTGTGTCCATACAGATACCTATAAATATTTTTATGAAACCACCTGTATCTGTATTAAGATAATTGTGAATTGATATGGCATCTTCAACTATAATCTATTACCACATTGATTATTTTAGCCTCCTCCCTTGCTTATCTGTAACTTCTTCCTTCAATAGAGACTTGGCTCATGCCATCTTTTATCCATTTGCTTAATTGTTCAATCCCAGTTTACATGTAGAGCAGTATCAGAGTCCTTAGCCCACAGAGTACAGTAGTTTATGTACTTTCTTTTAACTTTAGTTTTCCTGCCTACTTAATTCAAAGTGACTTAGTCCTGTGCCTTTTCCTCATTCCCTTCAGGGAGGTACTTTCATAAATTTCTTACAGAGTTAAATTATTTTACCACATTCTGAATTCCATCCTGGGATACCAGACATATGAAATAATTTCTTTAAATTTACATATATTAAATTAATTCTTCCTGTTGTATAGTTCTATATGTTTTGACATATGCCTAGTGTCATGAGTCCACCATTATAATATCATACAGAATATTTCCTCTTTCCTAAACAATCTCCTGTACTTCAATATTCAATCCTCTTATAGTCCTCTGATGCCCTGACAACCACTCATCTTTTTATCATCTCTCTGATTTTGACAATCTCATTATGTTATATTATTGGAATCCTGCAGTATGTAGCCTGTTCAGAATGGCTTCTTTCACATAACAATATGCATTTAGATTATCTCCCTGTTTTCTTGTGCCTTCATAGCTTATTTTCATTAATAAATAATATGCCAATGTTCGGATGTACCAAAGTTTAGCTTTTCTTTCATTGAAGAATATTTGGTTGATTCCAAAGTTGGTGATGATCAATAAAGCTGTTATAATTGTTTTCAGGTGTCATATGGACATACATTTTTAAATATATTGGGTAAATACTAAGTGAGTGTTAAATTGCGTGGTAAAACTATGTTTAGCTTTGTAAGAAAATGTTAAACTGACTTAAAGTAGTTGTACCCATTTCTGTTTGCACTTGTAGTGAAGGAGAGCTCCTATTGCTTTGCATCCTCCCAGCAATTGGTATTATCAGGTTTTATAAATTCATCATTCTAATGGTGTATAGCAGTATCTCCTTGTTTTAATGTGCAATTCTTTAATGTTAGTGGTGGTATCTTTTCATATACTTATCTGCCATTCGTAGCTCTTGTTTGCTGAGGTGTCTGTTCAGATCATTTGTGCATTTGTGTCTTTTTTTCTTATTGTTAATTTTAAGAGATTTTTATATAATGGGGGTATAAGTCCTTGATGAGATATGTGCTTAAATATATTTTCTTCAAGTCTATGGCTTGTCTTTTTGTTCTCTCCACAATGTCTTTCAGAGAACAGAAGTTTTTAATTTTAGTAAAGTCCAAATTATCAATGTTTTTCTTGCAAGGATCATGACCTGGTGTTCTATCTAAACACTCATTACCAAAATAAAGGTCACATAGGTCTTCTTCTGTGTTTTCTTGTAGAAGTTTTACAGTATTTCATTTTTATATTTATATCTATTATCCCTTTCCAGTTGTAATAGTAAGGTCTGAGTCTAGGTGTATTTTTCTGTAGATGGACTGGGGTGCTGACTTCCATGGTCCTTACACATTGAAGCTGATATGTAAAACGTGTCCCAAAGGACATCTTTAATAAAAAAAGTAAGGTGTGGAATCATGTGTATAGTTTGTTACTTTATCTATAAAAGAGGTTATTTTATCAAATATAACTCTCTCTATATACATACATATATATGTATGTATCCTCTACATGGTATCAGTGTAAATCCTATTTTATATATATATATATATATATAGAGAGAGAGAGAGAGAGAGAGAGATAGCTTTTAATGGCCCTTATTTTTCATGTCAAAAAACACAATTAGTTTAGTACCAACCTAATTTTTGCAATCTTTCTCTCTCTGGAGGATTATATTTGTTTCTCCCTACCTAATGAATTAATAAATACAAAACAAACTGATTAAATGTTGAGGAGAGGGGACATTGGGCTCTGCATACATAATAGACAGGGGTAGAGGAGATATTTTGGCTTTGTGCATATATATATATACACACACACACATACACATACATACATATTTAATTGTTAGATTTTTAGTACTAACGTATTTCTTCCTAAAAAAAAAAAAATAGAAAATTGGGTAATTTTTTAAATGTTCCAAATACTGTTTTCTTTCTGTGTGAATATTTCCCAGTTTATCTTTTCTCTTTCTTTCTGTCATCCTTTCCCCTAGTAATTAACAATTTCACTTTAGGATACTGGTATGAGGTTCTCTATACCTGCTAAGGAGTTACTGAAGAAGTCTCCTGTTTGCGTCTCTCCATTTATATTGTGTGTGTGATATCCTGGCAGAGAATCACAGAAATTGTTGCTCCTGTGTATGATTACCTTGAACTACGGTGCAATGATAAAATGTTTGATAGATGGTCCTAAATTGATTATACGCTTTCTCTGTAAATGAAATAACAGAGAGGAAGCCCAATTTATACATACAGGAAAATGATGGAATGTGTCTGTATATCTTACTAACTTGGAATTTCTAGAACAAGTTGGAATACTATTGACATAATTATTTTATAAAGATCAAATTTGGTTAACTTCGTATTTTATGTTTAAAATAGCAAAAGAAACACAGATGTTTTGCTTATAATATCAAAATAAATAATTTCTGTGGAATCTAAAATTGACTAGTAAATCTGAATTTTATGTTTCATTAAGGCTGAATATGTCTCTAATACTTATTATAGATACCAAGACAGATTCATTATTATAGACTACTTTACAAACTTTACTGCTGAACCTAATATCTTAGTTATTGCACACTTTTAATACAGTATACAAAAATGAATGAAGATTATCTATAGTGCCCATAGATGAGAATTAACTTATTTTTAAAGAAAACGCCTCAAAATATGGCTCAACAGTCTTTTTCAAAGACACATCCTCAATGTCTGAAGCTATTATTTACAGCTAAACCCTATTGTGACTCTTATAAGCATAAAGAAGTGGTATGCACTTCTCTAATACTGAACCCTATCTATTTGAAAGACCATTGTAAAGTCAGACTGTGACTAACCTCAATTCCTTTCATCTTATAGATTTTGCTTGCATACCCCAAATACTGGATTTAAAAGGAGAAAGTATTCAACCTGAGGAAGCTGATAAAAAAAGAAAAGCAAAAACAATTGAGAAAGTAACAAATACAGTTGAATTTGGCAAATATGTATTGAATGATGACTTTTTGACAGGTACAATAGCAAACATTAGGGCTATAGAGTTCAATATGGTAGGATGAAAATCTGTATTCTACATTCTGAGAACTCTACCTTCTGATAAGATATGGATATTGGCAATTTGAATAGTGTCTGGAAGCATGAAAAAGAGTAGTCATTTTTTTCAAATTCACTAAGTGTTCATTTTGGGGTTCATCTAAAAGGATAAATTGGGGTTTGGTCATGTAAGTAAGAGAATTGAGTTGTAGAATTCTACCTTAACATCTCTCATACATTTTTTTATCCACCTTTTCTCCCTTAGTTCAAGTGGTTATCATTTAGAATACTGCTATACTATTATAAATCTTAACCCATGCCTTGGTTTTGTGAATTTCCACTTTAGTATCTGTTCTGCTGGAAGGCTGACAATGTGCAGTTATCAGAGAGGAGTAATTGTTACAACAGGTTACATCTCTTATGGGACTATCAGTCACCTACATTGTCACCTACATTGTAGTTTGTTCTAAACTATTTTCCAGCAGTAAAACAACTAATTGTGATTCTTGTTCGTTCTTCAAACTCAACTATTGTTAGTACACATTTCCTCCTAGACTTTTAGAAATAATTGATACAAATTTTATATTTTCAAAGTTCTTTCTGTTTTAAGTTTCATTCAAAATATTTTCATGGGTGTTTGGAAAAAGAAAAATCAAACAAAATTAGTAGTGATGCCATTAAAGCAAAATTATATGTACTTGAAAATTTCTGAATTTTTAAATGATATTCTCATGAACTTCACATATTAATTGTATTTACTCGTGGAATTATTAAAATAGTTTGACAAATTTAAGGAGGAAAGAAAGAAAATAAGACAAGAAATAAAGAAAAAAATTCAAAAAGTGAGAGGGAAAAAGTAGTAATCAAGTAACTAAAATTTCTACCTGCAACTTTTTCCAAGGTGCTTATTATCAGTGTAGGTCTAATAAAAAAATACTGCTATGTAAATAGGCAAGTTGAGACATAAATAATTGATTCCAGATCTTACGCAGTTCACGTGGAAAGTGGTCCCAATACAATTCAACCTTGGTTGCTAATAATAACTTTTTTTTTATCAAGTGCATGGATCTCTAAAAAAGAGTATAACCCCAAATATTTTCTAATTCATTATTGATCTCTTTCAAGTAGCCCCTCTTGGCTCTACATAGCATCAGTGCAAATCCTATTTTCCTATACCCTTGTCTCAAATGCATAGAAGACTAGTATATCTAACATAAATTCTCCCAACAAAACAAAGAAATATCCGAAAGGTGTAAGTCTAAAGCCATTCAGTATCTTGCTCACTCTTCCATGAAGCAGAAGAAATGAAGTTTATGATAATTGATGAAAAAGAATGTGTAATAAGCAAGTAATTTGTTTCAATGAAACTATCTGATTCATTTTATTTGAGGCTCTTTATCTAGAAGAATGTGACCCTGAATAGGATGTATAGGTGCCTCTTAAAGACAGATAAATTAGTGACAATATTCAAAATTCTTAGGACTGACCCATGAATTGGCCCTTTTTTAGGTAATACTTACATCACTACACCTGTCAAAGGAAGACCATGAAGTTTTTGAATCTGTGGTTATTTAGAGGAACTTGCAGCTTTTTCCAAAACCGACTTTGTTTCCACGGCAACAGGAATTATCTGTCGAAGTCTGACCTTTCCTTTGCATAGTTTAGTTTTGACAGCTATGTGTGCGCTGTTTTAGAAAGCACATATAACCCAGAGAATCTTAAAAAAGATATACAAAGTGGAAAGCAATTGAAAATGCTAAGCTTTAAAAATACAGTTAAGGTTATGAATTTTTTAATATGACTTATTTTAAGCTAGTGTTACCTTATGTTTGAAACTCAGAGCTGAAACAAGATGTGGAACCATTTTAATTAAAATTACAGGTAAATTTTGTTACATAAGTAAATATTAGAAGGAAGACAAATGCTTGTATAAGGAAACAGCTTATTATGGGCATTCATTAACAATGATCTAAATGGCCGGGCAGGGGGGCTCACTCCTGTAATCCCAGCATTTTGGGAGGCCGAGGTGGGCGAATGACATGAGATCAGGAGTTAAGAGACCAGCCTGGCCAACATGGTGAAACCATGTCTCTACCAAAAACTACAAAAATTTGCTGGGCGTGGTGGCCCTCGCCTGTAGTCCCAACTACTGAGGATGCTGAGGTGGCAGAATCCCTTGAATCCAGGAGTCAGAGGTTGCAGTGACCCGAGATCGCGCCACTGAACTCCAGCCTGGGCAACAGAGCGAGACCTTGTCTCAAAAAAATAATAAATAACCTACATATATAATCATATATTGGCAGTGCACTTCACACACATTATGTTATCATAAAGATATAATTAATACAACTCTAGAAAGTAGATGTCATTATCCTTTTTTTTTTTTTTTTTTTTTGAGACGGAAGTCTCGCTCTATCGCCAGGCTGGAGTACAGTGGCGCGATCTCGGCTCACCGCAACCTCCACCTCCCGGGTTCAAGCCATTCTCCTGCCTCAGCCTCCCGAGTAGCTGGGACTACAGTAGCGTGCCTCCATTCCAGGCTAATTTTGTATTTTTAGTAGAGAAGGGGTTTCACCATGTTGGCCAGGATGGTCTCAATCTCTTGACCTCGTGATCCGCCCTCCTCTGCATCCCAAAGTGCTGGGATTACAGGTGTGAGCCACCGCGCCCAGCCTATCCTATTTTTTAGTGGAAAAAGGATCCATCATGCTAAAGGATTTCCCAGAATCACCTGCATAGTATGTAAATACTGAGTTCATGTCTTGGACATTCTAAAGCCACGTTCTTGTAATTTCAACCTTTTAAATTATGAACAAATCAAGTAATACAAAGCGGTAAAAAAATTTTAGCTAAAATACTAAGAATCATCTAGATTTACTTAATTATTAAGTATTTGTTTTAAAATAGTCATATGTTTATCCTCTGCTGCATCCAAAAAGGTGATTTTAAAAAATGTTCTTTTGGCCAGGCACGGTAGCTCACGCCTATAATCCCACTACTTTGGGAGGTCGAGGCGGGCAGATCATCAGATCAGGAGTTCGAGACCAGCCTGGCCAACATAGTGAAACCCCATCTCTGCTAAAAATACAAACTTATCTGGGTGTGGTGGTACGGGCCTGTAGTCCCAGCTACTCGGAAGGCTGAGGCAGGAGAATCGCTTGAACCCGGGAGGTGGAGGTTGCAGTGGGCCAAGACCGCGTACCGTTGCACTCCAGCCTGGGTGACAGAGTGAGACTCCATCTCAAAAATAAATAAATAAATTAAATAAATAAATAAATAGAAATAAATAAGTAAATAAATAATGTTCTTTTTAGGTTTTATATTTGTGAGAAAAAAATCAATGACTAAATCTTCAGCAATGTGGTAGTAAATGAGAGAAATCAATTTCTTTAAACTTGATAGATTAGAATTTTACCAGAGAGAATTTCAGAGAACAGATAACTATGACAATTTTCATTAGAATTGTATGTTCAATAAATACTGCTTACCATCAAGTGTAACTGAGTACAAATTATAAAGACATTTTAGAAAATTAGATTTAATTTTATTTACTAGGGCTAACTTCCAAAGAATTTATAATAGAAAATATGAAGTCATTACAACATAAAGAAAAATGTTTCATGAGGAAAAAAAGCTAACCATCTGAGATGACCACCTCAAACACAAGGGCAAAGAACTGGAATAAAATTCAGTAATGAATCAAGTGTAGAATAAATGAGTATCTAAAGTTAGTTTGAAAGAATGGCCTTGAAGAGGCTTGAAGAACAATAAAAATGTAATTTCATTTCTTTTAATAAATAGCTTTTAAAGTCCTGCATTATACAAACTAAAAAAAGTGATATGTTACCTACCACTTCATTTTAATAATTTGACTTTTATTTTTTCATATTTAAGAAAAATATGTAGACACCATATTGACATATTTCTTTTTCATTCCAAGTCTATTTCTGATGTTATGACTTAAGTAACTATACTTATGGATCAACTTTCAGAAAGCTGAAAAATATAGAAAATGAAATAGGGTTATGGGTTGAATTTCTGCAGTTGCAAGACACAGTTTGATATTTTTTCCCTGAAGTAAATATAACTTATATTTTTTAAACTCCAGATTCAGTTTTCTTTAAGTTTGATAACTTTTTGAAAGAAGTAGATTATATTGTTACAGGTTTGAAAACTGACATCACAGAAAAGGTGCTAATGAGTTATTTTAGTGAAGACTTGGTTAAAATGCATGATGACAAGGCTAGGCTAAATGGGAAAATAATATGTAGTCAGACTCAGATAAATTTATCTGAGCCCCTTTTGGCTCAGATAAATTTGGAGTGGGCAATAGGAAATTTCTTTACCAAAATATTTTAATAAGAAAGAATGGAAAGAAAATCCCATTAGCGCTCCCAACATTTAGAGATTATATTTAATACTCTTAAAACTGCTTTAGAAAGGAATTAGAACTCCTTGGAGAAATGCCTGATTCACATGAACATAAAACATTGTTTTTTTTGTGCCTGAAAATAGAGATATTCAAACAATGGGAGAGACACATCAAAAAGATACAGGAGCCAGCTCAAGCAAGCAACCACTGGCCAAATCAGGGACATTTTGAGAATCAAGTAGGCTGCAGGGAAAAGATTCAACTTGCTCAGAGCTGAGGTGGGGAATATTTTGGACAAGCTTCCCTCAAATTGAGGTGTCTCATGTTGCCGTTGCCTTGAGTTAACTCTGTATTTCTGGAGAAGCTACTCTGAGGTAGCTGAAAAATTTTTGTGGGCATATGGAGAACAAAGGAGTAACATTTATTCAAGAAAATCTTCTAAATTTGTCTAGGATAGTAAGGATCTGTGGCATTTGAACCACAAACTACCTTCACCCCCACCTCCACCTCTCACCCGTCCCTCATAGGCTCCATCTTATGAAAAAAAAGTACTCCAGGAGCTCTAATATAGGAAGGTGAAGCCAAGAAGATGCGGTCCTCTCTCTCCTGCAGATTCCAGGTGGGGCCTTGGTTTCAACTTGCAGGTGGAGCGAACAGGCTGTAAGAATTTCTCATTCCACCCTCAGCCATGTTAAGTCCATGTAAGTTGTATTTCAGGCAGGTGCGGTTGAGAGGACCCTTGCTTCACCTAGCCTTTAATCACAAGGGTGAAGCTTTACCCTAGATGCAACAGACCAAGAATACTGTATTCTGTTCTCTTATACAATAGCTACAAGCTCACTCATAGGGCATAGGTTACATACCAGGAGAGGCAAGGCAAGAAGACCAGAGCCCCTTCCAACCTACACTCTCGAAGCAGAGCTGTCACTCCAGGAAATGTAGGCTACTGTCCCTGTGCCCAGTTCTAGTGTAGTAGTGCAGAGGTTCTACCTATGGGGAGAGGTAAGCTGGAGAGGTCATACCTAAGGGCGAAGAGCTCCACAGCTCTACATGAGAAAACTAATTTTATTTGTAATAAATTATGGAGGATTTCATGCCTAAGGATTCTGCTAAAAGCAATGGAGTTTTTGGGGAAGGGCAATTAAGAAGACATATCTATAACTCCATGATACAAGTATTAATAAGCAAAACTGCTGAGCATCAGAATTTTATCATAGAGAAGCAGAGAATGAGTGAGCCAAGAAGGTCTATCCTGTGATGACAGCCAACAGGGTTGGAAGGGCTGTCTATATGCTCTAAACTGTACCTTGTCAGGAGTAATCAGGGCAGAATGTAAAGAATATTTGAAAGAATTCCTTAACCACAACAACGGGCATCAGCAAAGGGCAGAAGTCTCAGTGGCGCAAGAGCTTAAGCACAACCTCTGACCATTTTCTAGCTAAACAAAAAGCTATTTTGACATAGGGGCAACTCCTAGAAAACTAAGCTTTAAAATGACATTACATGTATCCATGGCAACCTGGAAGATTGTATGTATGGCCAAGATGTTGCCCTCCAGGAGTGAATGGAGAAGTAAAATCTAAGCTACTCATACTTGCGTGAAGACGTGGCAAAAACAGATTCCTTTGACTCTTAACAGCAGCCTCCACACCACAAATACGTTCAATGATAAAGATTAAAAATCTAACAGGTGAAGAGGGATTAAGCACAACTCCTGAATAATAAATGACCTATGCTAATCCAGGGACAATACCTACATAACCAGGCTGAAATATTAAAATAAGAAAAATTCTGAGCGAGTACATCAAAAGTCACATGGTCGTACTGAGAAATGACTCTGCAGAAAGTCTAGCCATTAAACAAATAAAATATTATTTAAATGTTTAATGGCAACTAAATATTATTAAGCAAATAAATACATGGCCAATGAAAAAGCTACAACATAACCTGGGGTGAATGGGATCAGCAACATGCGGTGCTACCATATATTATCTGAAAGGCTGCATTTGCAACGTAAAATTTTGAGATGCACAGAAACAGAGATAATCATAACCATATACAGAAAAAGCAGATAATAGAAACTTATTTGGAAATGGTCTAGATACTGCAGTTATCACAGACTTTAAATCAGCCACTATAAATATATTCAAAGAACTAAGAAACCGTGTCTAAAAAAAATTAAAGAAAAATGGCAATAATGTTCCATGAATAGAAAGAGAGAGAAATTGTTTTTTGGAGAACCGCATGAAAATTTTATAGTTGAAAATGCAATAATCAAAATGAAATATTCACTAAATTGGCTCAACAGTAGATTTGAGTTGACAAAGGAAAGAATCAGCAAACTTGATGATAGAGCAATACAGGTTATGTAATCGGAAGAAGATAGAGAAAAAAGAATAAGAATAAATGAAGTGAGCCACAGAGAAAAGTAAGACACCAATAAGTACCCCAACAAAGGTATAATGGAAAAACCATGAAGAAGAGAAAGAAAAGGGCAGAAAAATATTCCAAGAATGACTGAAAACTTTCTACATTTGATGAAAAACATTGATCAGATAATTTAAGAATTTTGATGAACTCTAAATATTTTAAGCACAAAGAAATCCACACTTAGACATAGTCAAAATGTTGATGCCAAAGACAAAGTCTTGAAGGCAGTCAGAGAGAAAAATGACTTGTGATATACAAGGGAATCCCAAAAAGTTTAAAAACTGAATTCTCATGAGAAGCAACAGAAGCCAAAAGGCAAAGATATAATATATTTAAAGTGCTAAAATGAAAAAAACTGTCAACTAAGTATCTCATATTCATCAATATTATCTTTAATAAATGAAGATAAAGACATTCTCAGAAAAACAAAATTTGAGGAATTTATTGCTGGCAGACTCACAAGAAAATATTAAAAAGAATTCTTCAGGCTTAAAGCTAATGAAACTGGGTAGTAATAAAAAAACACATTAAAAAATAAAAAATTTCCAATAATGGTAATTATGTAAGTATAAAGGACAGTATAATTGGATAATTATTACTATTCATTTTCTTAACTCATTTAAGGAATAGTTGCATAAAATACATGTATATAATTGGATTGTTGGGTTTAAAACATTAGACAATAATATATTTGACAATAACAGCACAGAGGAGGTGGGTAGGAGAAAAGTTGTATAGAGTAAGAAATAACACAGACAGCAACTATAATTCAATGGAAGAAATACAAAGAATAAAAAATGGTAAATAAAAGGTACATGTAACAATTCTACAAACACATACTCTCTCTCCTTTCTTTTTTCGAGTTTTTTAAGAGATATAAGATTATATAAAATAATAACTATAACAATGTATTATTGAGTTCATAACATATAATGACCTAATATGTACTTCATTATGTATATGTACCACATTTTCTTCATCCATTCATCTATCAGTGTAACATTTAGGTTGCCTCCAAATCTTGGCTATTGTGAATAGTGCTGCAATAATCATGGGAGTGTGGATATCTCTACTAATTTTATTTCCTTTCGATCAATATCCAGTAGTGGGATTGCTCGATCATATGGTAGTTCCATCTTTTGTTATTTGATGAACCTTCATACTGTTCTCCATAGTAGTTGCACTAATTTACATTCCCCCCAACAGTGTATGAGGGGTCTCTTTTCTCCACATCTTCACCATTTTTTAAATCACATGTCTTTTGGATAAAAGCCTTTTTTTTTTTTTTTTGGAGATGGAGTTTCACTCTCTCAGCCAGGCTGGAGTGCAGTGGTGCGACCTTGGCTCACTGCAACCTCTGCCTCCCAGGTTCAAGTGATTCTCCTGCCTCACCCTCCTGAGTAGCTGGGATTACAGGTGCATGCCACCATGCCTGGCTAATTTTTGTATTTTTAGTAGAGACGGGGTTTCACCATATTGGCCAGGGCTGGTCTTGAACTCTTGATCTCATGATCTGCCCACCACAGCCTCCCAAAGTGCTAGGATTACAGGCATGAGCCACCATGCCCGGTGGATAAAAGCCATTCTAGGTGGTGTAAAATGATACCTCATTTTGTTTTGATTTGCATTTCTCTAACAAACAATAATGTTGAGCACCTTTTCATATACTTATTGGCAATTTGTATGTCTTCTTTTGAGAAATGCTCATTCAAGTCTTTTGCCAATTTTGTAATTGGATTATTCCTTTTTTTCTTATAAAGTTGTTCGAGCTTCTTATATACTCTGATTATTAATCTCTTGTCTGATGGGTAGTTTGTAAATATTTTCTCCCATTTTGTGGATTGTCTCCTCACTTTATTGATTATTTTCTTTGTTGTGCAAAAGCTTTTTAACTTGATGTAATCCCATTTGTCCATTTTTGCTTTGATTGACTGTGCTTGTGGGGTATTACTCAAGAAATATTTGCCAAGTCCAATGTCTTGGAGATTTTCCTCAATTTTTCTTTTGCTGTTGCTTCATAATTTGAGGTCTTACATTTAAATCTTTAACCCACTTTGATACGATTTTTGTCTATGGAGAGAGGGGTCTAGTTTCTTTCTGCTACATATAGATATCTAGTTTCCCCAGCACCATCTATGGAAGAGACTGTCCTTTCCCCAGTGTAGGTTCTTGGCAACTTTGGCAAAAATGAGTTCATTATAGATGTAAAGATTTGTTTCTGGGTTTTTTTTTAATCTTGTTCCACTGTTCTATGTGTCTGTTTTTATGCCAGTACCTTGTTGTTTTGATTACTATGGCTCTGTTTTATAATTTGAAGTCACATAATGTGATTGATTCCCCCAGTTTCGTTCTTTTTGCTTAGGATAGCTTTGGCTATTCTGGGTCTTTTGTGGTTCCATGCAAATTTTAGGATTATTTCTTCTATTTCTGTGAAGAATGTTCTTGGTATTTTGATAAGGATTGCATTGAATTTGTAGTTTGCTTTGGGTAGTGATGTAGTTTGGATGTGTGCTCCTGCCTAAATCTCATATTGAAATATGATCCCCAGTGTTGGAGGTAGGGCCTGGTGGGAGGTGATTGAAACATGCGGATGGATTTCTCATGAATAATTACCATCATCCCTCTTGGTACACTTCTCACAATAATTCTCATGAGATTTTGTCAATTAAAAGTGTTAGCACCTCCCCAGTTGCTCTCTCTTGCTCCTGCTCTTGCCAGGTGACATGCTTGCTTCCCCTTCACCTTACACCATAACTGCAATTTTCCTGAGGCTTCTCCAAAAACCAAGCAGATGCCAGTGTCATGCTTCCTATATAGCCTGCAGAATCATTAGACAATTAAATCTCTTTTCTTTATGAATTACCCCATCTCTTTTCTCTTTATAGCAGTGCAAGAATGGAATAATAGAGGTAGTATGGACATTTTAACAATACTGATTCTTCCAATCCATGGATATGGAATACCTTGCCATTTTTGGTATTTTCTTTAGTTTCTTTCATCCATGTTTTATAGTTTTATTGTAGGGAGCTTTCACTTGTTTATTTAAGTTAATTCCTAGGTATTTAATTTTATTTGTAACTTTGGTAAATAGGATTACTTTCTTGATTTCATTTTCAGATTGTTTGCTGTTGACATATAGAAATGCCATTTATTTTATTATGTTGATTTTGTATCCTGCAGCTTTACTGAAATTGTTTATTCATTCTAAAATATTTTTGCTGGAGTCTTAACGATTTTCCAAATATAAGATTATATCATTTGCAAACAAGGATAATTTGACTTCTTTCTTTTCAATTTGTATATGCTCTACTTCTTTTTTTTTTTCTGATTGTTAATCTAAGACTTCCAGTACTATTCCGAATAACAGTGGTGAAAATGAACACCCTTGTTATATTCTAGATCCTAGAGGAAAGGCTTTCAGTATTTCCCCAGTCAATATGATATTAGCTATGTTTGTGACATATATGGCTTTTATTATGCTGAGATATATTCCTTCTATAACCAGTTTTTTGCTTGTTTTTTTAATTATGAAAAGATGTTGAATTTTATCAAATCCTCTTTCAGTATCAGTTAAAATAATCATATGGTTTTCTATCCTTCATTATTTTGATATGATGTATCACATTGATTGATTTGCATACATTGAACCATCCCTGCATCCCAGGATAGATCTGATTTGGTCATGAGTGATCTTTTTAATGTGGTGTTGAATTCAGTTTGCTAATATTTTGTCAACGATTTTGCGTCAATATTCATCATGGATATTGGTTTGTAGTTTTCTTTTTTTGGTGTGTGTTTGTCTGGGTTTGGTAT
The DNA here is from genome assembly GCF_000001405.40 of Homo sapiens. Taxonomy (NCBI): domain Eukaryota; kingdom Metazoa; phylum Chordata; class Mammalia; order Primates; family Hominidae; genus Homo; species Homo sapiens. Next base: position 187,795,021 of record NC_000002.12, on the reverse strand, counting down.
CAAGGTAATATTTGCTTTGTAGAATGAGTGCAGAGGTATTATCTCCTCCTCTATTTTGCAGAACAGTCTGAGTAGGATTGGTATTAGTTCTTCTCTAATTGTTTGATAGAATTCAGCAGTAAAACCTTCAGGTCCCAAGTTTTTCTTTGCTGCAAGATTTTTAATTATGGTTCAGGTTTTGAATTTCTTCATGATTCAATACTGGTAAGTTGCTTCTATTTGGCCATCTTTCTGTGCTTCCATTCTATGTTCTAGTTTTTATTTTTTGAGGAATTTCCATACTGTTGTTCATAATGGTTGCACTAATTTATAATACATTCTCAACAACAGTGTGCAAGTGTTCCCTTTTCTCTACATCTTCATCAACTTATCTTTTGTCTTTTTGATAATACTGAATTACAGAGGTATGAAGCAATATATCATTGTGGTTTTGATTTGCATTTCCCGAATGATTAGTGATGTTCAGCACCTTTTCATATACCTATTGGTCATTTGTATGCTTTCCTTAGTGAAATATCTTCAGGATCTTCTTTCCTCATTTTTAAGCTGGGTTATTTGAATTTTTTGTTATTGAGTTATATGAGTTGATTATATATTTTGAATACTAGCTCCACATTAGATATATGGTTTGCACATATTTTCTTCCATTCTGTAGGTTTCCCTTTCACTATTTTGATTGTTTCCTTTGCTGTGCAGAAACTTTTTAGTTTGACATGATCTTACTTATCTGTTTTTTGCTATTGTTGCCTGTGTTTTTGATGTGATTACCAAAAAATTATTTCCCAGACCAATGTCAAGGAGCTTTACCCGTATGTTTTCTCTTAGTAGCTTTATAGCTTCAGTTTTTATGTTTAAGTCTGTAATCCATTTTTAGTTGATTTTTGCATGTGGTGTGAGATAAGGGTATAATTTATTCTTCAGCATATGGATAGACAATTTTTTGAACATTATTTATGGATCAGATTATCTTTTCTTTTCTTTGTGTTCTCAGCATCCTTGTCAAATATCAGCTGACCATAAATGTTTGCTTTTATTTCTGGGATCTCTCTTCTGGTCTTTATATTTTTTGATAACTTAATATTGTTGAGATGGTAAAGATCCTGAAATTTATCTACATTCAATATGATTATTATCTAAATACCAGTTTACCTTTTAACAGAAATTGACAACTGATCTTAAAACTCATATAAAATGCAAGAAAACTAAAATAGGCTAACAAATCTTGAAAAAGAACAAAGTTGGAGGACTCACATTTGTGGATTTCAAAATTTAGTACATAGCTGCAGTAATAAATGCATCGTGATACTGACACAAATATAAATATAGATCAGTGGAACAAAGTTTAACATACAAAATTAAACTCATATTTATGGTGAACTTATGTATTTAAAATTATTATGATTTTAAATAAAGATACCTTGATAATTGAGTAAGAAAAGAGCAATTGTTTCAACATGCGGTGCTGGGAAGTGAATTAGAGACTAAATGTAAGACCTAAAACTATAAAACTCTTAGAAAAAAAGATAAGAGTGAATCTTTGTGAACTTGCATTAGGCAGCTGTTTCTTTGATATGATATTGAAAGCATAAGAGGCTAGAGATATAATAGATAAATTGGACTTCTTCAATATTAAAACCTTTATATTGCATGATACTATAATAAAATGGATAAACCACAGAATAGGAGAAAATATTTATAAATTGCATATCTGATAAGAGACTGATATCCAGACTACAAAAAGAACATCCTTAACTCAATAATAAAAAGGCATGTAAACCAAATTCCAAAATCAGTAATGAATTTGAATAGAAATTTCTCAAAAGGGGAAAAACAGATGACAAATAAGCATGGGGCAAAGATTCCTAATACCATTAGTCATTAAGAAAATCCAAATCAAAATTACAATGTGATAGCATCTCTGGTCTGATAGCAATGAAACAGTCTTTTTAAAGTGCATCTGAGCATCAGCTTCAGTGTGAGAACTTGAGGTGATGGTATACTACCCTTTTGTGTACAATATATTCTTTATATCAATATTCATTATACAGCTCTATTTCCCAAAGTGTAGACTACATATGTCTGACACTCCTGGTAATGTACTTGGGGAATTTTTTTTTCTTTCTATTTAATATTAGGCTCTGTAGTTCTAAAGGATTTGATTCTTAGAATGCCACTACTTCCAGTGGGGGACTCAGCACCATCCCCACTAAATTTAAAACATCCTTTTCACCTTGGGCTCCTGTGACTGTTAACTAGCAGGCAAGGAAAAGAGTTAACACACTGCCAGTGTTTACTGACTTTCATCATCATGAGAAGTATGTCTCTTATTACATAATGGGGGCAGCAAGAAAAACATAGAATATTTAAATGATG